>NC_000013.11:72953560-73105075 GCF_000001405.40 Homo sapiens
TAGACTCTGAGATTTCCTTAGTTACAAATAACCTTAGTGTTGGCTTTCTCAGATGCCAGCAGTAGCAGTAATGTACTGGGCACATGGACAGACTCAAGACCTCCTGGTTAGCCGAGGCAATGCAGGCAATGGCAACAGCTGAGGGCATGCAGAAGTTTTCTCCTTCCTGAGTGCTGTGTTATTCTGCCTTCAGGTGTCATAATGGGCTGTGCCTGGCTACCAGCCAGGAGGTGGTGCTTGCAAAAGAGTACCAGGTGCGGTGGTAGTAGTGGAATTTGTGCTTGCCTTATGTTACCCAGGGCAGGCACTCTGGGGTCTCAGGCAATGGGCGGGGCTATGGAGCCTCCAAATATCCCTGTCCATTGTGTTATGCTACCAGGGCTCATAAAGTGGCAAAGCCTGGTGAGGACTGGACCAGGCAAGTCCTCACTCAGGCTCTCCAGGTACAAGCACAAGCAGTGTCCCCAGTGGGGATCAGAGAACAGCTTTCTGGCCACTGGGGTAATGTTCCAGAGGGGAGCAGAGCTGCCTCTGGTGCACAGAAGAATCCACACAGGGAGTGGGAGCAGGAGGGAGTAGTAGAAGGCAGTAAGGCCCACTCAGCTCCCATGCACTTGGCACAGCAAGTCCCATACCCTCAGTATTCTGCTAACAGCAACTAGCTGTGTTCCAGGCAGTCTACACTTAGAACACAAAACTGCCCCAAGCAGTAAGCCTTCCTGCCAGCGATAGAAACCAGGCTTTCAGGCCATGCCCCTCCCTATCCACCTGCGAAGCAGGGGCGCCCAACTTCTGCACTATAGCACACTTCATGCCAGCCCCCTGGTTCTGGCCGACAGGGTTAGTCTCCACTTAAAATCATATTGCGAATCTCAGGAGCTCTTTTCAACCTGTTACTACAGCCTGAGTTACTGAGCAGACTTCTGTGAGGTAGGATCAGGAATGGCTTTCCTCCATCCCCGCTGGAATCTGGTAGTGCGTGCAAAGCACATCCTGATGCCACTCCTTCTCATGTATTCTCCACGCTCACTAAATTGGCTCCCATACTGAGTAGGGTTAAGGCCTTCCCCTGTGGCCTGGGCTGCCCAGCTTTGCTGTGGGAGTGTGTGTTCTGGTGGCTGAGTCTCCCCATCTTATGCTCTGGAGATTCAGAGTTTTCCATCTGGTTCACAGTGTAGGCTGCTGCCACCACTTCTTTTAAAGGATCTGTGGTTTTTTTCAGTTCTTCTGTTAAATTCTTGTGTTGCTTCTTGTGAAAAAAAGTTCACAGTGTGAATCTCTACACATACTTTGTTTTTCCAAGTAGGAGAGGTATGCTAACACTGTCTCCAGTCCACCATCATGTCTTGGTATCCTCCCTACAGTACTCCCAGTATCTGCAGGTCACAGAGCCACAGAGGCTGTGGCAGAGCCACCTGGATCCTCTAGGATTGGAGGAAACAGAGCAATGGAGATAGGACCTGGAGTTGGGAGGGCAGATGCTCAGAAATTATTATTAACTGTTATCACTCTGTTACTTATTTTTGAGGTTGTTCTGATATGGAATTACATATAAAGTAATATTTTAATTATGTTGGACATAACATTTATCTTCCATATGAATGGCTGATTCATTACATGGACAAAACATTTCACTTTCATTGTAGTAGTAGCTCTGTGTCTAACCTTGCCAAGTGCTTAATCCAGGAAGTCTTGGTTATGGTTCATTCTGGGAAAAAATTCAGTTAATATGGATCCAGACAGTATGCTAGTATTTGTTATTTAAATCATGCTTGTATAGGTGCAAACACCAGGTCATATAAATGTGTGTGTTTGTGTGTGTGTGTGTGTGTGTGTGTGTATGTGCACATTACCAAATGCCAACCACCACTGAAGTGGGAAAAACAATGACTTATTTATAAATTATATTCTGTTTATACGTCAAACAAATAAGGTAATTGTTTAAATTTTTTACCTGCCGGTTGTTCCTCGAAAACTCATGAGTGACTATAATTTTTTTCGTTTCAGAGCTATTTGAAAATCACAATGCAAATTCTTTATACACACACATACATACACACACACACACATCCCAATCAGCAATGTTATACAGTTGAACCACATTAAAATTAATTTCTCAAAGGTAGCTTTGAAGGAGAAAGAAGTTGCAAACACTTGAACTCAAATTCTGTTCTCTAACCCTAATCTCCTTTCCTTCCAGCTCTCCTAGTTCTTTCATTCCCACTAAATTTGTACTTTATTTGGACTCATTACAAGTCCCTGTCTCATAAAGCCCTTCCATATTTTTCCAATCTGTCAAGCCCCTCCTCGTTTTACTTTTCTTCCTGCCTATCCTTGGACTTTGTCAGCCATCTGAGTACTAGAATTCACCATCTCTCTAGATTGCTTTGTGGCCAAATTTATACAGCAGGCTTTTCTTGACAATTTCTACCTTTAGCATATTATCTTACAATCTGATAATTAGCCTATAAATATTTAATGGAAGAAAGGCAAGAGAGAGAAAATTCTTAGGTTTTGCAGTAACAATACTGAAAAATTCTTGTGGAAATCTGTGTGACTCGTCCTGCTTGGAAGCATTATGAATTCATGTTATTGAATATCAACTAGGCCCTTAACTACTGTTGCCCAGTGTTTTTATTTTTCTGTCTCCATCCTATTTCCCATTATCTCCATTGCAGATCACTTCTAATCCCAAAGCTATCAATTCTATTATCTGTCTCCTTTTTTCAGTATCTCTCCTTACCCTTTTTCTCCTCTTTAGTACCCCCTTCAAAGTATGTGTGTGTATGTGTGTGTGTGACCAAATGCCAACCACCACTGACACACATACATACATGGGGGAAGTGGTATTGGCATAGGCAACTTTCAAAAGTTAATACCCTATCTTTGTGCTTAATTTATTCTTCTCTCCTCCCATGTCAGCTACACTCTCCTCAGTGGTCATTAATGACCTCTGAATGGCCAGCATTTTCTTCTCAGAGCCTATACAATTTGATCTATCTGTGGCATGGCATTATGGATATTCTAGAAATTCTGTCCTGTTTTGGCATTACAACACAATTCTCCCTGGCTCTCGTCCTGTAACTCTGATGGCTCTTTAGTCTATTTAGCTGATGTCTTCATCTTCTAGCCCTTAAATGTAGGTGTCCCTCGGGTGCCTGCCCTTTTCTCTGTTCTTACACCTCAGGAGAGATTCTAAAACATTAGACGAAGTCTAGAATCAAGCCCAGTGAGTATAAGAATCATCAAAAATTCTAGCTGGAAGAAAAAAACCCCATCAAAAAGTGGGCTAAGGACATGAATAGACAGTTCTCAAAAGAAGATATACAAATGGCAAACAAACATGTAAAAAATGCTCAACATCACTAATTATCAGGGAGATGCAAATCAAAACTGCAAAGTGATACCACCTCACTCCTGCAAGAATGGCGTAATGAAAAAAATTTTTAAAAAATAGATATTGGCATGGATGTGGTGAAAAGGGAAAACTTTTTCACTGCTGGTGAGAATGTAAACTAGTACAACCAATATGGAAAACTGTGTAGCTTCCTTAAAGAACTAAAAGTAGATCTACCATTTGATCCAGCAATCCCACTACTGGGTATCTGCCCAGAGAAAAAGAAGATATTATACGAAAAAGATACTTGCACACTCATATTCATAGCAGCACAATTCACAATTGCAAAAATATGGAACCAGCTCAAATGCCCATCAGTCAATGAGTGGATAAAGAAAATGTGGTATGTATATATACCATGGAATATTACTCAGCCATAAAAAGGAATGAAATAACGGCATTCACACAACCTGGATGGAGTTGGAGACCATTATTCTAAGTGAAGTAACTCAGGAATGGAAAACCAAACATCATACGCTCTCACTTACAAGTCACAGCTAAGCTATGAGAATGCAAAGGCATAAGAATGATACAGTGGACTTTGGGGACTCATGGGGAAGGGTGGGAGCAGGGTGGAGGATACAAGGGTACACATTGGGTACAGTGTACACTGCTCAGGTGATGGGTGCACCGAAATCTCAGAAATCACCACTAAAGATCTTAATCATGTAACCAAATACCACCTGTTCTCCAAAAACTCTTGAAATAAAAAAATAATAATAAAATTCTAAGCCCAGCTACTTGGGAGGCCAGGATGGATCACTGGAGGCCAGTAGTTCAAGAGCAGCCTGGGCAATATAGCAAGACCCTATCTCTAAAAAAAGAAAAAAAAACTACAAAACTTAGCTGAATGCAGTGGCGCACACCTATAGTCCCAACTACTTGGGAGGCTGAAGTGGAAGGAGGATTGCTTGAACCTGGGAGGCAGAGGTTGCAGTGAGCCGTGATTGCGCCACTGCACTCCAGCCTGAGCAACAGAGTGAGATCCTATCTCGGGCAGGGGGGAAAGAAAGAAAGAAAAAAACAATTAGCCAGTTGTTGTGGCATGCACTATAGTTTTAGCCACCTGAGAGACTGAAGTGGGAAAATCTCTTGAGCCGAGGAGTTTGAGGCTGAAATGCCACCACACTTCAGCCTGGGCAACAGAGTAAGACCTTGCCTCTTAAAAAAAAAAAGAATCACGTAAGATTCTTGTTTAAAATGTAAAACAGGCTTCTAGATCCTGCCCTCAGAGGTTGTGATTAAGTAAGTCTAGAATGAAGTCCAGAAATCTGGATTTTTAACAAGCTCTGCAGTGAACTATGATTCCGCCACTGCACTCCAACCTGGATGACAAAGCAAGACCCTATCTCAAAAAAAAAAAAAAAAAAAAAAAAGGAATGCAGGGCCACAATTTGAAGTAGTAATGTTCTATAGTTCTATCTACTTCAATGACTTCAGTCATCACTTCCATGCTGGTTACTCTCAAGTATTTTAACATCCCATTCATGAATTTTCCTTACTTGGACCATACTTTGTGGATCTTAAGACCAAAAGCGGAGCTGATAATCAACTACCATGTCCTTGCTTTAATTATTGACATAATAAAATACTAGCAGAAACACTGGTAAATAGCTCTACACTAAGATCCCACTGTCCGTTCCACCACAGTCTCATCTGTCCTGTGGCCCCTCTCCTGAGACCTGCCTGTAATCCAGCGACAAAGAGGTCATACCTGAGACACAGAGTTTCACCAATATTTTAATTGGTTGAAATGTATCAGTTAAATATTACCGCTGTTAAAGATGATAATGTTAATCACGTGGGAACATGAGAGAAGGAACTGGTATTAGTAGGGAGGATTACAAGTTCAAGACGTAAAATGATTTACGTACTAATTTGGATGGAGTGGCCTACATCAAGTCCAAGATCACTAGGACTGTATTCTTCAAATCTGGCTGATTATCAGAATCTGAGACCCAACCCTGAGAAATTTTGATTCAGTAGGACTGGGGCCCACCAGAATCACTAGTAGGACCCAAAAATCACTTATTTTTTGGTTTGTTTTTCTGGGTTTTTTGAGACAGAGTCTTCCTCTGTCACCCGGGCTGGAGTGCAGTGGCGTGATCTCGGCTCACTGCAACCACCTCCTGGATTCAAGCAGCTCTTGTGCCTCAGCCTCCCAAGAAGCTGGGATTACAGGCATGCGCCACCACACCAGGCTAATTTTTGTATTTTTAGTAGAGACGGGGTTTTGCCATGTTGGCCAGGCTGGTCTCAAATTCCTGACCTCAAGCAATCCACCCACCTTGGCTTCCCAAAGTGCTGGGATTACAGGCATGAGCCACCACGCCCAGCCAGAAATCACTATTTTTTTTTACATTTTCCCCAGCAATTGAGAACATAGAGAAGTTGTACCAAAGTGTTGCCCCCCTATCGGACCTCAAGCAGGCCTTTTTCATTCCTAGCACGATTAAAAAGATTAAGCAAGGATATGTGACTGATTCTGTACAAACTACCACCACTGCTAGAAAGTATCACTTGCATATATTTTATAGACAGAAAGCAACTCAATGTTAAATTCCACTCAGCAGTATTCATTTTATTCCTGGCAATAAAGAACTTCATTTCTAGTTTCTGTGAAAGTAAACTCCCCAAGGAAAAAAACTCCACATGTAGGAAAAACATGCAGCAAAATGTAGTCACCTTTATATTAGTTTATTTGAATTTTAAGAGAAAAATTGTAATTTTAGATTCTCATCTAAGTTAAATTAGTACTTGAATCAAAAGATATAATGATGTTTTAATCAGGGGTTACTTTTCTCTGAATCATATGTACAGGTTATTGAAACAAAGGAAGAATAACACTTCTGTAAAATGTTGTGTCATGGGTTTTATCTAGAGTCACTTATTACGTATATGATTCCTGAGTCACTAATTACTAAGGCTTTCCTATAAGAAAAAGATTACTAACAATAGGCAATGTGAGCAATTGCAAAACTTTTTGAATAGTAATTATTATAGGTACAGAAAGATTTTTGAAAACTCTATTGAAGGAATTAAATTCTAATAAATTATGTTTATTTCAAACATGGAATTAGCATCACTTTTTATTCAGAGATATGTACTTTTTTCCTGACAAATGAAAATCAACTTTGGGGATTTAGAAGCCTACAAACAGGTTTATAAAGAAATGTATCTGTAACACTAACAGCATTATTATAGTATTTATTATCCAGAGTAAGGCGGTTATAGGTTTTATGTTAAAGATACCTTTTGAAAGTAAGGCTTCTGGCCCTTAACTTTGTTTATAATACTAAAACCTTTAGCCGGGCATGGTGGTGCATGCCTGTGGTCCTGGCGACTCAAGAGGCTGAAGTAGGAGGATCACTTGAGTCTGGGAGGTCGAGGCTGCAGTGAGCTGTGGCTCTGCACTCTAGCCTAGGCAACAGAGTGAGATCCTGTCTCAAAAAAATATATGTATATATTAAAACCTAATATATGTAACTACTTTCATGAAAAAATTGAACTAAAATAATTGAGACTGCTGCTGTATATTTTGTGCAACTAAAATAATTGAGACTGCTGCTGTTATGTTTTGTGCAATTGAAATTAGATTTGGTATGTTTTAAACAGCTCATTCTAGACAGAAGTTAACTGAAATTCATAAATGTTCTTAGTTATTCCCTGCCACCCTTTCCCCACACACACACTTGAACTGTTCTGCACTTTGAAACACAAAGCAACTTGTCAGTTCAGTTTATTCAGTCAGGGTCAGTTCTGTGAAAACAAAGCCAAGGCAATTGTTTGATTTAATTGACTAGACAAACTGGTTATACAGGTTAGTAGAACTTAGTTTTATTTTTGTCCAGCTGCATATTTGAATGTTCATAAAGTAACTTAGTAAAATAATAAGATTCCAGTGACATTGTAATATATTTTAAAGAATAATTACCAAAGCAAAGAAAAAAAACATTCTAAAACCCAAACTATAGAAGCTATTCATGGTATTTTTTTCTTTATGGCTCCACTTTCACTATAATGAAATGTGTTCCCCCAAAAAAGTAGCCTTCTTTTCTTTCACTATTCATTTCCTTCTTTTTTTTTTTTTAATTTTTTTTTGAAGATTTTTTTTCCTGGGCTGTAGTTAATATAACTATCAGAAAATTTCCTGTACAATTTAGATGAATAAATGCTTTTACAGAATAGTTCTCTATGTGCAAGCAGACATCCTCTAACAGTTGGTCAGCCCCCTTTTGGCTTCAGTGTCCTCCTTACCCAGCCAACCTCATGGCTGATCATTTTAACAATGTTCTCATTACTATCCTTGATTCTTTCTGCCTCCCACCATGCTTTCCACTATATCCATCCCACTGTTCCCTGCTTCTTCAGCTCCTGGGCTTCTAATCACTCATTATTTTATTAAAATGAGTGGAAAACCAAAAAATTGATATGCTAAAGTATACTCTTAAAGGTCTTAATACTTTAAAAGTATATAGATCTCATGAACATAATTCATTTGAGGAAAAAAATACAAATCATTTCTTGTCCCAGGAAAACAGTAAATCTTTAATGGAACTTTTTAGCAATTATGACAAAAAGAATGGAAAAATGTTTAAACATATATAAAAGGCTAGACGTTTATCGCCAAATAGTATCTAAAGGTCATAGAATAGTTAGGAATTCTGTCATTTTGTTTTGTGTAATAAATACCCCCTTCCTTACCCTTTCACCCTAATAATAGATATCCACCATTTTGTTGTGATTATCCAACTATAGAGTACCTTTTTCAAGAACTCATTATATACCAAAGTAGGAGCTTGCTGACACTGATAATGCTTTATTTAGTTTTGTAGTGACATACAATTACCATTTGCTTAGGAAAAAAAATAAAGAACAAAAACAAGTAAATTTTTTAAAACTATGGTTGTGTATATATAAGTTGATAAAAATCCTTTGGGAGAAAACTTTTGTCTTGTGTGTTAAGAGCATTAAATAGTCATACCCCTTAGCCTAGTGTGTCTTCTATCCTGAAAAAAAATTAACAAAGCAAATACTAACTTAAGAAAAAAAACTACAGCACTGAAAAGATTTGTTGTAATATTGTTTATGCTAACATAAATTATGTAAATTTTTATATATTGTTTATACTGACTTATAATTTATTACTATACATAGTGTAAATTATGATACATTGGCTTTGGTAGGCAGTTTTGTAACCGCTAATAATATAAATACCATACTATTAACAATCTAGAAAAATGATTCTGGTATAGGTTATGTGAAAAGGCACAAAATAAAATTGTATATAGTACACTAGCAATGAACAGTCTGACAAAGGAAATTAAGAAAACAATTCCATGTACAATAGCATCAAAAAGAAAAAAATACAGCCAGGCATGATGGCTCTGGACTTTGAAAGGCCAAGGCCAGAAGAATTGCTTGAGCTCAGGAGTTCAAGCCCATCCTGGGCAGCATAGGGAGACTCTGTCTCTATAAAAAATAAAATAAAATTAGCCGGGCATGGTGGCTCATGCTTGTAGTCCCAGCTACTCAGGAGGCTGAGGTGGGAGGATTACTTGAGCCCAGGAGGTAGGCTGCAGTGAGCCATGATGTTGCCACTGCACTCCAGACTAGGTGACAGAGTGAGTCCCTGTCTCAAAAAAAAAAAAAGGAAGAAAACATTTAGGAATAAATTAACCAAATGGACACAAGACATCCCATATTCATGGATTAGAAGATTTAATGTTGTTAGGATGATAATACTACCCAAAACATTCTACAAATTAGATTCAGTCCCTGTCAAAATCCCAATGGCATTTTTTACAGAAATGGAAAAACTGATCCTAAAATTCATATGGAATTTCAAGGAACCCTAAATGGCCAAAACAATCTTTAAAAGGAAAAACAAAGTTGTAGGGCTCAGATTTCCAGATTTCTGAACTTACTGTAAAGTTACAGTCAGCAAAACAGTGTGCAACTAGAATAAGGATGGACATAAAAACCCACGGAATATTAATAGAATAGAGCCCAGAAGTAAACACTTGCCTATATGGCCAGTCGTTTTCAACAAGAGTGCTAGGACCATTTCATGGAGAAAAGCCAGTCTTTTCAACAAATGGGGCTGGTAAAACTGAGTATCTACATGCAAAAGAATGAAGTTGGACCCTTACCTTACACCATATTCAAAAGCTAACTCAGACTGGATCAGAGACCTAAATTTAAGCATTAAAGGTATAAAATGCATAGAAGAAAACATAGGAGAAAATCATAACCTTGGATTTGGCAATTTCTGCAAAAGGACAAGCACAAAAACATAAAATAGATAAATTGAATTTCCTAATTATAAAAAATTGTGAGTTAAAGGAGATTATCAGCCGGACCCAATGGCTCATGCCTGTAATCCCAGCACTTTGGGAGGCCAAGGCAGGCAGATCACTTGAAGTCAGGAATCCGAGACCAGCCTGGCCAACATGGTGAAACCCCGTATCTACTAAAAATATGAAAATTAGCCAGGCATGGTGGCGCACGCCTCTAATCCCAGCTACTCAGAAGGCTGAGGCAAGAGAATTTCTTGAATCCAGGAGGCGGAGGTTGCAGTGAGCTGAGATCGCACCACTGCACTCCAGCCTGGGTGACAGAGCAAGACTCCATCTCAAAATAAGTAAGTAAGTAAATAAATAAGATTATCAAGAAAGTGAAAAGACAACCCACAAAATGGAAGAAAATATTTGCAAATTACATATCTAATAAGACTATATTATTAAGAATATATAGAGAACTCCTACAACTCAGCAACAACAACAAGAAAAATCACAATTAAAATACAAGCAAAAGACTTGGGAAGACTTCTCTCCAAAGAAGATATACAAATGCCCAGTATGCACATGAAATAATGTGCTTTGGCCAGGATGTGGAGAAATTGTAATCAAATTTCTTGCTGGTAGGAATGTAAAATGGTATCACCACTGTGGAACCGTTGCAGTTCCTCAAAAAGTTAAATATAGAATTACCATATGACCTAACAGTTCTACTCCACTTCTAGGTAGCTACCCAACAGAAGTGAAACAAGAACTCAAGATATACAGTATTTGTCCACCAATGTTCATAGCAGCATTATTCACAATAGCCAAACAGTGGAAACCCAAGTATTCATCAAGAGATCAATGGATAAACAAAATGTACTATAAACATACAGTGGACTATTATTTACCATTAAAAGGAATGAAGTTCTGATACATGATACAACATAGATGAACTTTGAAAACGTCACACTAAGTGAAATAAGCAGACAGCAAAGGACAAATATTGTGTTATTCCACTTATGTGAGGTATCTGGAATAGGCAAATTCACAGAGACAGAAAGTAAGATACAGGTTTCTAGGGCCAGGAGGGAGGAGAAAATGGGGAGTTTTTGTTTAATGGGTACAGAGTTTCCATATGGGCTGATGGAAGTGTTCTGGAAATAGAAGTGGTAGCTATTCAACATTATGAATGTACTTAATGCCACTGAATTGTACACTTTTCACATGATTAAAATGGTAAATTTTACATTATATTTTAAAACACATTTGTCAAAAATTTATACATAATGATTTGGATATATAAATTATGTATTTTTAAAACAAGGGAATATGAAGAAATGAAAAAATTATTGAATTATGGTGTGAATATTTTTAGTAGAAGTAAAGCTGAAATAAAAGAGTTTAACTTTTAGCTAAGTGTTTCCATTTTAAAAAGATATATTTTATGTCATATAGCTTTTCAGACCAAGACAAATACTAAGAAAATTTAAGTTTATGCATTCTCAAAATTGCTATTAATATTTTATTTAAAATTTTTTCAGCCAGGCGAGGTGGCTCACACCCGTAGTCCCCGCACTTTGGGAGGCTGAGGTGGGCGATCACCTGAGGTCAGGAGTTCAAGACCAGCCTGGCCAACATGCTGAAACCCCATCTCTACTAAAATTACAAAAATTAGTGGGGCATGGTAGCAGGCACCTGTAATCCCAGCTACTCGGAAAGCTGAGGCAGGAGAATCACTTGAACCTGGAAGGCGGAGGTTGCAGTGAGCCGAGATCGCGCCACTGCACTCTAGCCTGGGCGACAGAGCGAGACTGTCTCAAAAAAAAGAAAACAAAAAAAATTATTGTTTATAGTTGCTATTAAGAATAGCTATATTGATTCACTCTTAAAACCTTCAAATTTACACAGGAAAAGCTTTTCAGAATAATTCATGTCAAAGGAATTTCTGTACTATATTTGTGCTAGAGCATTTTGAATGATTTTATTTTGTTGTCACATTTTCTAGATTTTAATGAAACCTGTGTTTCTTTAGCTTGACAGAGCCAATTCGCTATTAAACCAGACTCAACAGCCTTACAGGTATCTCATTGAATCAGTGCGTCAGAGAGATTCTAAGATTGATTCACTGACGGAATCTATTGCACAACTTGAGAAAGATGTCAGGTAAACCATCTACAAATCTTTTATTTGAATAATAAAGACATTGTTACCATATTGCTGCTGTAGGTGAATTTGGGTTGTAAATCATGAACAGAAAATTTAAATAATGAAGGTGTCTTAAATGTAATGAATATTAAACTTTTCTTAGAAAAACTAAGGTCACATCACATCAGGTGTTCACATTCCACCTGTGATCAGATGTCTTAGCATGGAAATAACAATGTTACACTTATGAGCATAACATTCCATCTATCCTAGAGGACACAACCGCTATTGGTCCTTGTTTCCCTAGAACTCTTTAGTGTGGTGTAGATTGACCAGAGGGAGAGGAGGAATAAAACCAGATGCCATTTGTGTCGTTAAAATGGCTTTTTAAACAACAACAACAAAAAATTTACATTTACTTAGATTTATGTTGATTTTTCCAAGGAATTTTTAGGCTTTTCTTCTGACCTTTTACATGAAAGTAACTTTTAAGTGTAAATAAATAAATTTCTTTCACTTCCTTAATTTGTAATTGTTTCTGTATGAGATCTTATCCAAAAAAAATTTGCTATGACCAGTTTGGTTTTTTAAACTGAAATTAAAGAATGAAGATATGTGTAAATGAAACAGTTTTACTTGTGGATAGATGGTTAGTTTGCTTAGTTACTAGATTTCCAAGATTATAAGAATAATTTAGATTTTTATGGGTAAATTATTAACTGATTATCAATGTAAAAGCAGAGAATTAAGTGGGAATAGAAATGGTTAAATCAAGGAATTGGAAAACAATAAGGAGAAGATGGTTGTTAAATCCAGGTTTCTTAAAGTATGCAAACAAAAATATAAACCTATTGGTAACTAATTCCAAAGTATAAATGTTATTTTTAATGAATCACAGTAATTACCTTCTTTCATTTCTACCCCACCAAAATAATTGGTCTAGAACTTTATTCCTGTTCTTAATTTTTTATGATTTGTTTAAATAATTTAGGAGCACATTTATACCTTAAATGTGTCAAAATAAATAAGTTTGTTTCTAGATTAATTTTAAAGTTAAAAATTCTGTATACAACCTACAATAATAAATTAATTGTTCTATAAATAGTTCTTGGGGACAATAGAAATTATGTCTTTCACAATTCACTGGGCACCTGATTATCTTAGGGAAATTGAAGAAAGAACCCCAAATAGAATTTTTTCCTCCTATGTTACATATTTCTGTTAAATTTGAATATTTTTTGGCCAGGCGCAGTGGCTCACACCTGTAATCCCAGCACTTTGGGAGGCTGAGGCAGGCAGATCACCTGAGGTCAGGAATTCTAGACCAGCCTGGCCAACATAGTGAAACCCTGTCTCGACTACAAATACAAAAGTTAGCTGAGCATGGTGATGCATGCCTGTAGTCCCAGCCACTCTGGAGGCTGAGACAGGAGAATCGCTTGAACCGGGGAGACGGAGGTTGCAGTGAGCTGAGATCATTTCACTGCACTCCAGCTTGGGCAACAGAGTGAGACTCTGTCTCAAAAAAATTAAAATTAAAATTAAATTTTGAATCTTTTTTTTTTTTTTGAAACGGAGTCTCACTGTCACCCAGGCTGGAGTGCAATGATGTGATCTCTGCTCACTATAACCTCTGCCTCCCGGGTTCAAGTGATTCTCCTGCCTCAGCCTCCTGAGTAGCTAGGATTACAGGCACACGCTGCCACGCCCAGCTAATTTTTGTATTTTTAGTGGAGACAGGGTTTCACCATGTTGGTCAGGCTGGTCTTGAACTCCTGACCTCATGATCTGCCCTCCTCGGCCTCCCGAAGTGCTAGGATTAAAGGCATGAGACACCATGCCCGGCCTTAAAATTTGAATCTTTTATATGTCTTATTTTACCATTATTTCTTGTGATGAGGAGGTATATAAAAATCCTGAGGAAAAAAATTACTCCTTTCACAGTTATCTCCAAACAAATTTATTTGATTATTTATTTTACTAAGAATTAAGGTAGCTTAAAATGTTTAATATAGAGAAAATAATAGCTAGCTGTAGGAGAAAATTATAAAGATGAACAAATTCAGCCATAGAGAAATTAAGCAACTTGTCCTCTAAGAACATGCAACATTGTGATAGAGTAAGAATTCAATTTTATATCTGTCTGCTTGCTAATTCTATTCTCCTAACCATTAGGTTATACTGCCCCTCTATGTTCTATTCTGAATAAGGGATAATATTTCTTTAGCTAAAATAATTAAGGAAGAGAACAAAAAAGTAGTGTATCATAGTGATTAAAAGTAGCACTTTAATGAGTTGATCGTTGTTGAAGCGGGGTGATAGATATATCAGGGTTTGCTATTACATATTTTCTCTTCTGAAATATTCTATAATAAAATTTTTTAAAAAACAGATTTTAAAAGGAAGTTTTCAAATTCAACTCAGTACTTAGTTTTGAGTTAGGGCAAGTAATTTAAACTCTCTAATACCTCTGTTGTCCAATAGAACTTTCTATAATGATAAAAATATTCCATATCTGGCTGGGCACGGTAGCTCAAGTCTGTAATCCCAGCACTTTGGGAGGCCGAGGCGGGCGGATCACGAGGTCAGGAGATCGAGACCATCCTGGCTAACACGGTGAAACCCTGTCTCTACTAAAAATACAAAAATTAGCCGGGCGTAGTGGCGGGCGCCTGTAGTCCCAGCTACTCGGGAGGCTGAGGCAGGAGAATGGCGTGAACCTGGGAGGCAGAGCTTGCAGTGAGCCGAGATTGCGCCACTGCACTCCAACCTGGGCGACAGAGCCAGACTCCGTCTCCAAAAAAAGAAAAATTCTACATCAGTGCTGTCCAGTATGGTAGCCACTAGCTAGCCACATATAGATGTTGAGCATTTGTTTTGGGGTTTTGTTGTTGTTGTTGTTGTTGTTCTTTTTTTTCTTTTCTTTTCTTTGAGACGGAGTTTCACTCTTGTCACCCAGACTGGAGTGCAATGGCGCGATCTCGGCTCACTGCAACCTCCACCTCCCAGGTTCAAGCGATTCTCCTGTCTCAGCCTCCCGAGTAGCTGGGATAACAAGCACCCACCACCACAGCCGGCTAATTTTTGTGTTTTTAGTAAAGATGAGGTTTCACCCTGTTAGCCAGGGTGTTCTTGAACTCCTGACCTCAAATGATCCGCTGGCCTTGGCCTCCCAAAGTGCTGGGATTACAGGCATGAGCCACCACACCCAACCTGAGCATTTGAAATGTGGCTACTGTTACTGAGGAACTAAATTTTTAATTCTATTAAAATTAAATTGTTTAAATTATCTTTAATTTTATTTTTAATTTTATTAAAATTAAAGATAATTTTAATTGCCCTAGTGGCCAATGGCTGTGGTATTGCACAGTACAGCCAGTTTCCTCATATGTGAAATGAGAGTGGTGCCGAGGCAGACAGATTGCCTGAGCCCAGGAGTTCGAGACCAGCCTGGACAACATGGCAAAACCATGTTTGGTTTTGTCTCTACAAAAAATACAGAAAAATTTGCCAGTGTGATGGCACGCTTCTGTAGTCCTGGCTACTCAGGAGGCTGAGGTGGGAGGATGAGTTGAGCCTGGGAGGTGGAGGTTGCAATGAGCAACTGCACTCCAGCCTGGGTGACAAAGCAAAACTCTGTCTCAAAAAAAAAATAAAAATAAAAATAATGAGAGTGGTCCTAACAGCACCCGATTGATAGGGTTGTTCTGAGGAATAAATGATATAATCTTCATAATATACACAGATATAATAGTGCCTAAACATTATATTCAACAGTGTTCAATAAATGTTTGCCATTCTTAGTACTTACCATACATGTAACAAATTTTTGGTTGAAAATTATATTAAAAATGAGAAATAACATTTCTCAAAATATGTTGAATTTCAACAAAAATTAAGACTCCCTTAATAACAGCAACGGTTTTCATAAAGGCCATGTCATTTATGGAATTAATTACCAAGAAAAATTTTGTACTAAACATGAGTCCTTTAATGTTGTCTTGTGTTTCATAAATTAATTGTGTGATATTTTAGTACATTCTGAACTGATAATTCACAGGATATGAAATCTTATTCTTAATTGAAGCAACTACCTTCTAAAGTGAAAAGTTATTAATACTTTCAGTAGTTTAATTACAACACTTGAGATGTTGCTATAGGTGTACCCTGGTGACATGAATGAAATGCTGTGATGTAACAATGCCATTAAAAAGTCAGCTCAGCCAGTAATTCAGATATGGTAGGATAGATCACAGTTCTGTATACCCACATTCCTTCATCCCTACTCGAAGCAAATGGCATTTCAAATCCTAGAGTGGAATTATCCTGGGCTTTAAATACACATCAGGCTGGTTTCTCTCCTTATGGTAAATGTGTCTGTAAAATTAGATATTAATATGAACCCGAAGGGGTAGTTGTGAAAATTAAATTTAGGGGCATATATAAAGCTTTGGCATGTAGGAGAATCTCAGTAAATGTTACTTCCCTCCCCTTGTCTTTTATTTGAAATTTAAACATTAATGATGGCCCATCCAAAAGCGTTATCAAGTTATTATGTTCCTTAGAAAACATAAACAGGAAAATTCCTATTCCTCATTGCTAGGTGTTGATGTTAGTTGTAAAAATATTTACATCAATTGATGATTTTTAAATGTTTTTCTAATTCAATAAAAACTCTTTGAAGAACTGAATAATTGTATGCTTTTCTTAGAAAATTAAACAATACCACTATACCATACTTACCCCTTGAAAATCAACTATTTATACAATATATTCAATTTCTAGAAAGGCTAGAGTAAATATTCACTAAAATGAAATCATCATAAACACATTAAAAGCTAACATTTGAGATGTCACTATTAACTGCTTTAAATTCTCCTATCATTAAAGTAATACTTTATTATAAAAATAGTACTGTTAACTTTCTTCCACCAAGCCACAAGAGACACTCTGTGTAATACAGTTTGATCTCTACTTCAGAAAGGAAGGAAGCTTGGAAAGAGAATAATTAGCATAATTTTCTTTGCCTGTTGTCAGTTCTCAGTTTATTCTTAACTGGTAGTTAAAGATAAGACTACATTGCCAACTTCCCTTACAAAGCTATCCCAGAGTGTATTGATCCAGGAAGTTAAGGAACAATATATCAGGAATGTTTTCGTATTGCAGGTGAAACAGAGCCATAAACATGAATTTCTAAGTAATAATTAACAGTGAATTTAACAATTATGGGTGTAATATACCATTCAAGATAGATGTGCTTACAAGGAGATTTGTTTTGTAGTTGTTTTATGAGTCACTCATAGAAGCTTTGTATTTTCAAAGGTAAGTTTCCACTGTTATGAAATATGTCTTATGAAGACTAAAATTCTATTGAGTAAATACATACTAGAAGAAGAGTGAATATAATAATCATCATATTCAGTTTTAGAGACCCACATGTTAAAGGTTGTCTCCCTGTGGTTCGAGTATATTATAAAGAAGACAAAATATATGCCCAGATATTGTAATCACAGCAATATTGTCTGGGAAGTCCACATTGTTTGTAATAAACTCATGTCTTACAGGTGCAACATAATTGTTCTGTAAGCCAGTTTATCCCCCCACCATTTATTCCATGTATATACGGTTGTTTTGCTATTTAATTATAGAATACTTTATTTTTGAAAAGTTAAAACACGACAATATAAAAGCATTTGTGAAGAATTATCCAGTCAAAATCCTTTAATTACCTCGACATTCCATTCCGATTACACTACATATTCTTTAGAAGAGCCAGTTGGTATTTGAAACAGAGAGTGAGTGTGTGTGTGTGTGTGTGTATGTGTGTGTGTGTGTGTATGCACTGAATGTGAGTATATGCTTATATACCGTGGTTATAAGTGTATACATGTATATGAACATAGACACATACATGTTCCTTAAAAGTTCCTAGTCCTATTTACTGGATATTTAAATTTGAAAAATATTTTGCCTTCAAAGTGATTCCAGCTAAAGAGGTGGTTAGAATTCTAGAGTTAGAGAAACATGTGATCCTTACCATGCTTTGGAGACTCTAGCAGAACATGGCACTCAGTTTCCTTTATACTGTTTTGTTCTTTTCAACTCCTCAGCTCTTGTGGGATCTCTGGCGCCTAACTCTAAAAGTCAGTTTGTTTTTCAGCTGAGCTGCTTACCTTTATTGGCATTTAATTACTGTTTTACTCTGATGCCTATTTTTTTATCTAAATTAGTAACACTGTATAACATTTATATAGTTTTATGAGTTCAACACTTTATATAATCATTCACATAGTCCTTTGACATACATGAGTATTATGTTCTACTTTTACAGATATAAAAACTGAGGTTCAGTGGGGTGGTATGTGTTATGCTTTACAGCACACATTTGAGTCTGAGTCAGTGGCACAGTTGGGAACAGAAGTCAAAATTGCATCTAGTCCGTCTCCTCAGAGGACAAACTATGATGCTTCCTTCTCGATTACTTGGAAGGAGAAGAATGTGGGCTTTCCCTCTTAAGTCCTTTGAATTAGCAGTTGCTGCAGATTGCCTACTACTGTTTCTTGAATTAAAAAAAAAAAAAAGTCTGCCAAATATTATTCTAAAGATTAGTGGCTTTCATTTATTTATTTATTTATTTATTTATTTATTTATTTATTTATTTATTTTTTGAGAGAGCCTCACTCTGTCTCCCAGGCTGGAATACAGTGGAGCATCATAGCTCACTGCAGCCTCAAACTCCTGGGCTCGAGCGATCCTCCTACCTCATGCTTTGATGTAGCTGGGACTAAAGGTGCATGTCTCCACACCTGGCTAACATTTTTTTTTTAAGAGATGGGGGTCTCTCTGTGTTGCCCAGACTAGGCTCGAACTCCTGGGCTCATGCAGTTCTCCAACCTCGATCTCCCAAAGTGCTAGGATTACAGGCATGAGCCAGTGTGCCCTGCCTCCATTTTCTTAAAGTAGAACTTAAGTAGAACTTTAAAAATGTTTTTACCGGCCAGGTGCGGTGGCTCACGCCTATAATCCCAGCACTTCGGGAGGCCGAGGTGGGCAGATCACGTGAGGTCAGGAATTCGAGACCAGCCTGGCCAGCATGGTGAAACCCCATCTCTACTAAAAATACAAAAATTAGCCGGGCATGGTGGCACACACCTGTAGTCCCAGCCACTCAGACAGCTGAGGCAGAAAAATGAGTTGAACCCAGGAGGCAGAGGTTGCAGTGAGCCGAGATCGCGCCACTGCACTCCAGCCTGGGTGACAGAGCGAGACTCCGTCTCAAAAAAAAAAAAAATGTTTTTACCTATTTAAAACAATTCTTGTTAGTTTTACCCTCACAAATTTTGTCTTTTTTATTGTAATCATTCATTAGATAATTGCCACCATGCCAGGCCAGAAATTGAAAATCAAACTAATAATTTGGAGACAAACGTTCTTTTTTCAAGTTTATCACAGACTAAATACCTGATTCACTTACTTAACTCAATTATATACCTGATAATTTAGTTTGTAAAATATTACTTTCAGTTTTAAGGATGTTTTAATTTGTCTTCTAGTATCTTGTGTTGTAATAGTTTGCTGACATAGTACTTCTTACCTTTTATGTGAGTTTCTTTATCTTTTTACATTTTAGTAGTAAATAGTCATCTTTAAAACATTAATTTTATGCCTATACTAGGCAGGAAATTATTCTCAGACAGCATCTCAGTTACGTTGTCAAATGGATTCTTAAGAGAAGAAAAGCTGGGTGCAGTGATGTATGCCTGTAGTCCCAGATACTTAGGAGACTGAAGCAGGAAGATTGCTTGAGCCCAGGAGTTTGAGGCTGTAGTTCATTGTTACCATGTCTGTGAGTAGCCACTGCACTCCAGCCTGGGCAACACAGCAAGACTCCATCTCTTTAAAAAAAAGAGAAAGAGAAAGAAAAGAGGAGAGGGAAGAAAGAAAAGAAAAAAGAAAGGAAAAGAAAAGAGGAGAGGGAAGAAAGAAAAGAAAAAAGAAAGGAAAAGAAAAGAAAAAGATCTTCTGACAAAATAGGCCATTCATTGGGCCAAACATTTTAGTGGCTGGTCTGGAATATTTATGGACTATAAATTTATCTTTAGTTCAAACCATCAGATTCATGTTTATTCTTTTAATATTTACCATTTATTAACTATATTTATACTAACATAATGACTTTTTAAAACTGGGGTTTTTTTTTTCAGCAACTTAAATAAAGAAAAGTCAGCTTTACTACAGACGAAGAATCAAATGGCATTAGATTTAGAACAACTTCTAAATCATCGTGAGGTATTTTTCCTATTTTGTCATAATTGTAATCATTTTAGGCTTTTTTAAAAACTGCTATCAGGTTAAAATTATTGGATCCCAGTTGTGCATGTTCATTAATGACTTCTCTTATTTATGTCTCACTGTAATTTTGTCCTTTTTTATTCAACTTTTGATATACTTCTTAGAGTTAATTCTTATTCCTAGAATAACCCCTTCTTGTTGTGTTGATATCTGTCACTGAATTTCCCCATATTATTTAATAATAATCTGTTTTATCTTATTCTGCAACTAGACAGTTAATTTCCTTAGTGTGCCTCTCGTCTTCTTTATCAATGTATGCCCAGTGCCTGTAGTGTAGATAATTTGTGTTGAGCTTTAAAGTTCATAAAATTATTTTCTTTTCTTCATTTGTTCCCTACCAAAATTCTTTTAGAGTAAATATAATTCCTATTTTATAGATGGAGAAATGAGTTTTAAGTGGCTTGCCCATGGCAGTTAGTAACTAAGAGATAAGTTCTGTTTTGTTTTGTTTTTTTCCTTTAAGGTTTATTGAGTTATAATCTACAAAGAATAAAATTAACCTTTTTTAGCAGACATGTCTGTGATTTTTGACAAATGCACACAGTTGTGTCAGCACCACCACAATCAATATATAGAATAGTTCTATTACTCCACAAAATTCCCTCATTACCCCTTTTTAGCTGACCCTTTTCCTCAACCCCCAGCCCTATCAACCACGGGTGTATTTTCTGTAACTATTGTTTACCTTTTACAAAATGCTATAAAAGTGAAATTATCAGTATATAGCCTTTTGAGTCTGGCTTTTCTCAGTTACAATAATACATTTGCAATTCATATATATTGTTGCAATACAGATGTATAATATATTGACCTCAAGTGATCCGCCTGCATCAGCCTCCCAAAGTGCTGGGATTACAGGTGTGAGCCTGTACATACATCTACATTAGTCATATGTTTCCTTTTTATTGCTGAGTAATAAGCCATTATATGGATGTAACCCAGTTTGTTAATTCATTCACAGTTTATGGACATTTGAGTTGTTTCCATTTGAGGACATCTCCGAATAAAATATCTGTAAACAATTAATGTACACATTTTAATATAAACAAAAGTTTCCATTTCTCTTGGGTAAATACCCAGGAACATGATTACTGCATTGTATGGCAGGTGTATGTTTAAGTTTATAAGCAACTGTCAAAATTTTCCAAAGTTACTATACTTTTGCATTCCCCCTCTACGATGAATGAGAGTTCCAGTTTCTCTGCATCGTCACCAACCATTGGTATTTTTAACACAAAGCCTTTTTTCTACTGAACTATCACTGCCTCATCTTAGCCATCTTTTTACCATTTTGTTATTCTAATAGAAAAAGAAACTTTTTTTTTTTTTTTTTTGGAGACAGGATCTTGCTCTGTCACCCAGGCTGGAGTGCAGTGGCATGATCTCGGCTCACGGCAACCTCTGCCTTCCGAGTTCAAGCGAATCTCTTGGCTTAACCTCCTGAGTACCCGGGATTACAGGTGCATGCCACCATGCCATCTAACTTTTGTGTTTTTAATAGAGACTGGGTTTCGGCATGGTTGGCCAGGCTGATCTTAAACTCCTGACCTCAAGTGATCTGCCCGCCTCAATCCTCAAAGTGCTGGGATTACAGGTGTGAGCCACCGCGCCCGACCAGAAAACAAAACATTTAAAACATATCATTGGTTTATGAGTATCCTGATACTAGTCTGGGAGAGGTATACCAGATGTTGGGAAGAAATTATTGGGAGAATATTGTTGAGAGAGGGGAACTGGAAACTATTACTGGAAGCAGTTCAAAGGTACGTATCCTAGAGATGGTGTCAGAAGAATTGGAGGATTGTCTGTATCTGAGAAATGGCATTGGAGTGAGTTCTCTTAAAGGTGTCTTCTATGTGATGGGTGAAAAGGATGAGAAAGTGTCCCAGGACTAGATTGTAATGATAACATTTAGGAAGGTAAGTCAATCTAACAACAGGTTACAGAGCTAGGAAAAGCTTCTCTGAAGATATTTATTCTTTCTTCTGAGTTCGGACATTCTAGACCTTATCCATCACCGCTGCTGTCACTTATGTCCTAGGATTCTGCTTTCAAGTAATTGTTTCTTCACTGTGGAAACCTGATTCATTCACTATGTGGAATTTTCGCAAGTGTTTTTGAAATTAAATATTTAAGAGTAGTAACTACAGATGACCATTCAGCCATATCAACTACATTTTTTTAAAGCTAGATATTAATTTTTTTTTCAGAATGGCAATTCTCATTTGATTTTAAGGGGATGTGCTACACTGAAAAATATATGAGCAGTTCCAACACTTGGAATCACATTACTCATGAGTCCAAATAAAAACCAAAAAACTTTGCGTGGTGGATTGAGAAGAAAATACGTTTAAGCATGCAAATTAAATTCTAGCAGAGCTGGGCACAGTGTCACACACCTGTAGTCCCAGGTACTCTGGAGGCTAAGGCAGGAGGATCACTTGAGCACAGGAGTTTGAGACTATAGTGCACTCTGATCTCACCTGTGAATAGCCACTGCACTCCAGCCTGAGCAATGTAGTGCAACCCTATCTTTTAAAAAAGAAAGAAAGAGAAAGAGGGAGGGAGGGTTAGAGGGAAGGAGAGGAAGAAGAAGAAGGAAGAAAGGAAGCGAAGGAGGGGAGGGAAGGAGGGAGAAATTTAAACACTAGCAAGATGAAACTACTCATTAATTGCCTACTACTACATGTTATTACTGGTATTTGTATGGATGCATATTTAGATAATTGTCAGTTTTTATGTATTTGACAGTATATCTTTATTTTGGCAAGTATGTTTTAATAATTTAACATTGTATAGCTTTTGATGATACCAAACATCTAAAGAAAAGCAACTTTTTTTGTTTTAAAGCAAAGTAAAAATTAAAGCTTAGTAAAACAAATCTAATGTTATTAATCATTTTCTAAGAAACCATTTACTACCAACTTACATCATATATACACATGCAAAGGCCTCCGCAAATTGCATATATGGAAAGAAAACAGCTGGTGTGACCCCCTAGAAATGCTTGGCCATTCACTTGAACATTTACCTGATGAAACAGGATTGATTTATTCACTTGATTGTTCAGAGGATCATGTCCTCATAATAGTCAATAGATAACATTGGTTAAGAATAATTCTGATTTTTTTTTGAAAATGAAAATCAGGGCTGGGACTAGGGTGAGGCAAGCAAGGCATCTAGGACACATGATGTAAGGAGGTGCCTACTCTCAGAGTGGGCAAAGAACATGGACGGCCCCTGGGAGCCACTGCTTCTTTACCTAAGGCCGCTAGCTTGTCTCACCCTGGTCAATACCCTGGGAAAATTATCTGATACCAGTCTGGTTTTAATCAGTTAAATTTGGACAGTGTAAATGAGTGATTCAAAAAGAGACCAAATGAACTTTTTAAAGTTTCTTATTTTCTTTTTTGCATTGGACAGCTCTTGCTTTAATGTTGTGTTGTTTTGTTTTGTTTTGTTTTGTTTTGTCTTGTTTTGTTTTGAGATGGAGTCTTGCTCTGTCACCCAGGCTGGAGTGCAGTGGCGCTATTTCGGCTCAGCGCAACCTCCACCTCCCTGGTTCAAGCAATTCCCCTGCCTCAGCCCCCCAAGTAGCTGGGATTAACAGGCGCATGCCACCACACCTGGCTAATTTTTTTGTATTTTTAGTAGAGATGGGGTTTCACCACGTTGGCTAGACTGGTCTCAAACTCCTGACCTCAGGCAATCCACCTGCCTCAGCCTCCCAAAGTGCTGGGATTACAGGCATGAGCCACTGCACCCAGCCTAGCTCTAACTTTTTTTAGCAGTGTCACTTAGTTCTGATTAGGCTGTATGTGTTCATGTAATGTGAAGTAAGATCACCAGTTCATTTACATAATTCCAAAATATGTGTTAAACAGAAAAAGCAAGTAGGACAATTCTAGGTTGACAATTCAGAAACATTTGGGGCATGACCACAGAGAGTTTTTATTTTCTATATTAGTGTTAGCTCAAAAATATTAGCTTAAAAGTATCTTCTCTCATGTTAAGAGTTAGGGTGTGGTGTGACAATTTCCAGGAATGTGTATTGATCTCTTACAATTGAGTATTTCTTGAACTATGAGTGGAATATTAGGTGATGTTTAGTCCTAACTTTTTTTGCGAGAAAATATATTCAACAACTAATTTCAGAATGATATAACGTGAAGAGCAGGTGGCCGTAGAGAGAAATAGGATATTTTAGGTTGACTTTTCAGACTACAAAGCTCAACTGGGTTGGGTAAATATATTAGGTTAAAGGATTTACACAACAAATACTAACTTAAAAATGTGCATAAATTGAATTGAGAGCTTATACCTGCCCACACTTCTCCATTCTAAATTCTCCAGGTTTTGTCCCTATATTCAGTAAAATGTTCATAAAGCAGAGGGGGAAAGGGCAAAATATCTCTCCTCACAGAATTTATTTTATTAAAGAACAGTTTAATGTCATGCCTTCTGCTTTTGTAGAAGATCAAAACAAAGTGTGATCTCTCTTGGTTTTGTAAAACTAAGGCAGTCTACTAAGTACATCCACATAAATGACATAATCTAATCTTTACTACAGTCCACTGATAAATATCATTGTCCTCATTGTTAGAGATGAAACTGATGCTGATAAGAGTTAAATAACTCAACTGTGATTACGTAGTCAAAACTAAAAGTAATTCATTTTTTCCCTGAAACAAAACTAAGGTTCTTTTTCCTTAGTCTCATTTAGACAGAAAAAAACTCATGATGAATTATTGCGTATATTCCAGGAAAATTTTTGCCTCTGGGCGTGAAGTTATATTCCTCTTTCTTTTTTTCATAAAATGAAAACTTTGTAATTTAATGTGTTTCCTTTTTGTCTTCATTGCCAGAAAACTCAGAGCTGAATATCTTATCCAGGTGTTATAATCTTTTTTTTCCTCTTTCACTTTTGATACCTCAGAATAACTTTATCTGTTTCCTTCAGGTGGGTTGTAATCTATCTTACTCTAAAATGTCTTCACTTGTACTCGGATTAAGACCTCTTAGGTGTAAATAAAATATAAACCTAAATAATTAGATATTGAAAAGAGGTAAAAGGAAAAGATAAACTGATAGGAACTCACTTTTAGATAACAGTAGCAGGACTTCAAATAAAACATTCATTTTGAAAAGATTTGAGTATAAGAAATGTGATTTCAGGCCCGATGCAGTGGTTCACACTTGTAATCCCAGCACTCAAAAAGGCCAAGGTGGGAGGAACGCTTGAGGCTAGGTGTTCAGCACCAGCCTGGACAACCTAGGAAGACCTCATCTTCACAAAAAAATCAAAATTTAGCTGGGCATGGTGGTGCACATCTGTGTTCCCAGCTACTGGGGAAGTCGAAGCAGAAAGATAGCTTGAGCCCAGGAGGTTAAGGCTGCAGTGAATCATAATCACACCACTGCCCTCCAGCTTGGGTGACAGCAACACTGTCTTTTAGAAAAAGAGAAATGTGACTCCTTAAAATGGCTTCTTTCTTGAGCTTATCACTCAGTAATCGTCATTAATTGCATTTAGTTTTCATCTGTTTTTATCCACTCATCTTTGCCTTAACGAAACAAGATTTACTGATCACCTTTGGAAATTCTAATTCTGCTTTTCTTTGTATATATTTTATCCACGTGTCCTTAGAATATAAGCTTTTGAGAGTAGGAAAAGTATCTTTCATCAGCCAAATGCCTAATAGAATACTGAGCTCAGTCGTTAGAAGCTGATGTAGAAGCCCTTTTCTCATGGCTCTTGGAGCTGTAGAAGGGCAGTGGGAAGAACACCTCTTAGGAAGCTATTCCAGTATTTCAGTGAGTGAAGGTGGTGTCTTGAACTAGATTGGTGATGATGAGGTGAAACAAAAATGGACCGATTTGAAAGCTATTTAAGAAGCATAATTGGCCGGGCGTGGTGGCTCAAGCCTGTAATCCCAGCACTTTCGGAGGCCGAGGCGGGCAGATCACAAGATCAGGAGATCGAGACCATCCTGGCTAACACAGTGAAACCTGTCCCTACTAAAAATAGAAAAATTTAGCCAGGCATGGTGGTGGGCGCCTGTAGTTCCAGCTACTCGGGAGGCTGAGGCAGGAGAATGGCATGAACCCGGGAGGCGAAGGTTGCAGTGAGCTGAGATTGTGCCACTGCACTGCAGCCTTGGCAACGACAGAGCAAGACTCTGTCTCAAAAAAAGAAAAAAGAAAATTAAGAAGCATAATCACGGTCCTTGGTGATTTGAGTACATTAGGGACTGATGAAGAGAGGAGGGATGAGAATTGATGCCTAGGTTTTTGGCTTGTGTCTTTAGTGGTGCTACAAAGAACCTAGAAGAAAGAGGTTTGGGGAAGAAAAGTTCAAGAAAATATCTAAGTGGATATATACACTAGAGAGTTGGAAATGTAGGTTCTTGTGCCCAAGAAAGAGAATTCATCTGTTAATAGAAATTTGAAAGTCACAACATAAAGATGTTACTTTACATGGAAATAGAGTAAATGAACTAGTGAGACTATATAGAGTAAGAACAGAAAAAGGCCTGTGACAGAATCTTAATGAGTACCAGCATTTAAGGGAAGGGCATAGGAAAAAGTGCTTACACAAAGAAGAGTGAAGAGTGACCAGCATCAGTGACGAGCATCAGGAAGAGAGTAGAGTCCCTAAAGCCCAGGGAGAACCATTCATAACAGAGCCAGTTGTACGCAGTGACGTGCTCTCAAGAGGTCAGGCCAAAGAAAGATTTTTAAAAAAGAGTCATTTGGATTTAATAAGATGCTAAAGGGCCGGCACGGTGGCTCATGCCTGTAATCCCAGCACTTGAGGAGGCTGAGGCAGACAGATCACTTGAGCTCAGGAGTTCAAGACCAGCCTGGCCAACATGGCGAAACCCCATCTCTACAAAAGATACATAAATTAGCCAGGCCTGGGGGCATGCACCTGTAGTCCCAGCTACTTGGGAGGCTGAGGTGGGAGGATCTGGGAGAATTGCTTGAGCCCAGGAGGTGGAGGTTGCAGTGAGCCAAGATAGTACCACTGCACTCCACCCTGGGTGACAGAGTCAGAGCCCTATCTCCAAAAAAAAAAAAGAAAAAGAAAAAGATGCTAAAGCAGTTTCAATGGAGCTGGAGCTAAAAAGCAGATACCAGTGAAAAATAGGCAATCCTTAGAATATTTGAAGAAGAAAAGATAGGACAATTGAGGAAGGGGCATGAGATCAAGAGCTTTTGCTGAGCCAGGCACGGTGGCTCACGCTTGTAATTCCAACACTTTGGGAGGCGGAAGTGGGTGGATCCCTTGAGGCCAGGAGTTCGAGACCAGCCTGGCCAACATGGTGAAACCCTGTCTCTACTAAAAACACAAAAATTCGCCGGGCGTGGTGGCAGACACCCGTAGTCCCAGCTACTCGGGAGCCTGCGGCAGGAGAATCACTTGAACCCAGGAGGTGGAGGTTGGAGGTTGCAGTGAACTGAGATCATGCCACTGCACTCCAGCCTGGGTGACAGAGCAAGACTCTGTCTCAAAAAAAATAAAATAAAATAAAATAAATAAATAAATAAAATAAAAATAAAAAAAAGCTTTTGCCTCTCAAAGCTAGAGATTACACAATTTAAATGGTGACAGGAAGAAGCAAAATAGACATTAAAAGTACACAAAAGAAAGAGATAATCAATTGAGCAAAAGTGATAGGAAAGGAGATCCATAGCAGAGTCATGGGAATCAGCTTTAGACCACCAGTGTTACCTTTTCCATTTTGAAGAATAGAAAAAAGAATTATGTGAAAATAGAAGTAAGTTTATAGGTTTAGTGGTAAGTATTTAGAGAGTTCCCATCTAATGGATGTTTTCTAATAGAAAGAGATGTGGTACAGTCAGTGTTTTGAGAAAAATGAATTTTGAAGTAGCTGTGTAATAAATGAATGATGTACATAAAAGAATTGCCAAGTTGAAATGTTATGTACTTATAGTAGTACCATTCTGTGTAATTTTTCTTTAGCAGCACTTAGCACCCCAGGTGTAAACATAGAAGATGGAAACTAGACTGATCCAGAATTACATTCTACTTTCTACTATATGTACATATAAATATGTTCAACTCTCTCATTAAATTGTAAGACTGGCATTACCTTTATATTCCTTACATCTTCTACATTTTGAAATACTATGGAAAAAGCCAGCAGTCAGACAGACAAGACTTGTATTCATATCCCAGCTCTGCTACTTAATAGCAGTGCATTTTTGAGACAATAATTTCACCCCTCTAAACTCAGTTATCTCATCTGTAAATAAAGGTAATATCTACTTTGCAAGGTTCTGTGAGAATTAATATAGCAGTGTTCCTGGAATATAACAGAACTCAATGAATGTAGTTCCCTTTCCTCATTTCCTTCTGTGTCAAGGGTCTTTTTAAATATTATCTATCATTTGAGACTGGGCACGGTGGCTCCTACCTGTACCCAGCACTTAGGAAGGCCAAGGCAGGCAGATCGCTTGAGCTCAAGAGTTCAAGATCAGCCTGGGCAACATGGTGAAACTGTCTCTACAAAAAATATGAAAATTATCCAGGGATGGTGGCACATGTCTGTAGTCCCAGCTTCTCAGGAAGCTGAGGTGAGAGGATTGCTTGGGCCTGAGAGGTTGAGGCTGCAGTGAGCAGTGATCGTGCCACTACAGTCCAGCCTGGGTAACAGAGCTAGACCCTATCTAAAAAAACACAAAAAATAAAAATAAAAAAATATTATCTATCCTTTGAAGCCCTCCCTACCTCAACAAAGAAAAACATACCCTTTTCTACCTCATTCCTATAACTTTTTAAATATTTCTGTTAATGTTCATATTACTATGTAATTAAGCATCTGTCTTACCCATTAGATTGACAAATTCCTTTTTGTACTTTAGCCTTTAGCACAATATTTAGCAGATAATAAGTACTCATTCAGATGTTTCTTAAACTAATTGTTCTTTTCAATCTTCAATAATATAAAGCTGTCAAATAGAAAGCTTTAGAAACTGTCATCAAAAAATAAGTGTCACTCTGATACTGAAATATTTTAGCTGAAGAAAGCACAGAAGCTCTCCTGTATCCAAGGACAATTTTAGATACTACTACTGAAATTTTACTTACATACTACTTTTACATACAATTTTAGATACATACTACTGAAAGTAGGCCATAGGAAGTCATATCCCAAAGGTTTGTCTACAGGAGAGCTACTTCCTAAAACCTTGGAGATGGTAGTTGTAGGCACAGCAACCTCTATGGTTATCACACTTATACAGAATCATATATATTTGTGGAATATAAAACATCTGTTTTGGCTGGGCAGGGTAGCTCAGGCCTCTGATCCCATCACTTTGGGAGGCCAAGGTGGGAGGATTACTTGAGTCTAGGAATTTGAGACCAGCCTGGGCAACACAGCAAGACCCCTAGCATGGTGGCACAAACCTGTAGTACCAGCTACTCGGTTGGCTGTTGTGGGAGGATCCTTTAAGCCCAGGAGGTCAAGGCTGCAGTGAGTCATGATTGCACCACTGCACTCCAGCCTGGGCAACAGAGCGAGACTGTATCAAAGAAAAAAGAAAAATTTGTTTCTGAGACCTGGGATATCTTCTATCCTCTCATTGCAGTGTTTTTGCCAATAACACTTCTCAGGGCCCACAGTCATTTCAGTTAGTATTTAACCAGAATTAATCAACCACTCCTTACTAAGTACTTAGAATGTACAAGGCCCCACACTTACCTGAACATTGGACTAATTCTTATTATCCTGGATAACTTTCTTCTTACAGCAGTGTATGTCAGATAATGAAAAGAAAACAAACCCTGCAGTTAGCCAGGTTTCTTGAAAGTGAAATCACAGTATAATTATCATTCTTTTATGGTATGTTTGTGTTCCCAGATTCTAACTCATATGTTCTTTGCGATTTCTCGGAAGATTTCAGGGACATTTCAGCATCCCAAGTGCCCCTTAGGCAATCCACTTCATAAGAAGTTCCAACAAATTGCATTTTTCTTTATGTGTGTCACTCTTTCGGTTCATACTTAACTGTTTTGAAATTTTCTTAAGAGTATCTTTTTACATGTTTTTCTTATGCACCTATGTAGTTAAATTTTACAGTCAGCATGCTAAAAAAAAACTACTGAGCGGGTAAATTAATTTTTCTTTAAATGAAAATATACTTGTTTCTCAGATTCACACATACATTTCTCATCATAGTGGTGCTCTTCAAGTTAAACTGTTTTCGATTTGTTGGATATAAATGAGTGTTTTTAAAGAGAAAGATAATTATTATAGTGAAAACCAAAAACACATGTATGATACAAGTCATATTTTCCCTATAAAGTTTTAGAAAGATTTTTTTTTTCCATGTAAGGGTGTGTGACTTCAGGTCTGAAGAAATTTAGGGACTAAAATGTTGCAAAAAATACTGCAAATGTTGAATTTACACACATACTTTATGAGAAAGCTAAAGCTATTGTATTAACAGTGAGAATATATCTTGAATTTTTATAATCTTTTTCTATCAAACTCTAAAATGCTTTCAGATGAATTATGTTATACTACCCTACTTAGGAACCAGTTACAAATTACTTTCAAGTAAGTGTATCTGGGAATGAGGAATCAGAGAAAGGAAAAGTTTTAAATTAGTCTTCTCTGCTGAGAATTGGCCTTTTGCTTATGTTTTCTAGGATTCAAGAGGGAATTAGGCTTTTTACCCAAAATACATACTTTTCAGTAAATAATAAGTGTGTTTAATATTGATATATTATCTTGTAGTTTTTTATATTCATTTATTTTATTTAAGCCTCACAACAGCTCATTCTTACACCCATTTCACAGAGGCAACAACTGAATCACAGTTGTTCATTCTGTAAAATGTTAATTCTCCTCAGTTTTGAGTTGTGTAAAAGACATTTGAATTTCCTTTAGATTGTACTCTCTGGACCACTGTGTTTATATAGGCTTGTATAGAACCTAATAGAACTATGTCAAAATTGTTTTGGTTTTTGTAAGTATTTTGATTTCTTCTTTAATCTTTTCATTATCTTCTTTTAAATTATAAATATCTTTGTTGTATCCTACAAGTCAGTTCAGTCTTGTGTGACCCAATATATTAATATCTCATCATAAAAATATTTTATCTGTGCATATATACCCTTTTAATTTTTTATATCACATTTTCACATCTATTATGTAACATATAGACCTAGCAATTTTTAGGTTTCTTTTTTTAAGAATGAAATGTGTATTTTCCCACTGCATTTTAGAAGCTTGTGATATGTTTTCGGTTAAATTAAAAGTACATTTCTCTGACCTTTTTTTGTCAGTAAGGAGCAAGTAAATGACTTCTCTTGCTATCATTTCTAACCCTGTGCTTATATGACTATCTTAGAATAGTAGCAGCTTATAACAAACCAAACAATTCTGAGACATAAGGAGACACACACACAAAAAAAAACTACAAAACTGTAAAATCTCTGAAACTGTATAATCTCTGAAAATATTTGGTGGCCAGGCCGGGCGCAGTGGCTCACGCCTGTAATCCCAACACTTCGGGAGGCCGAAGCAGGGGGATCACGAGGTCAGGAGATCAAGACCATCCTGGCTAACACGGTGAAACCCTGTCTCTACTAAAAATACAAAAAAAAAAAAAAAAAAAAAAGCCAGGGCGGTGGCGGGTGCCTTGTAGTCCCAGCTACTTGGGAGGCTGAGGCAGGAGAATGGCTGAACCCGGGAGGCAGAGCTTGCAGTGCAGTGAGCCAAGATCACACTACTGCACTCCAGCGTGGGCAACAGGGTGAGACTCCGTCTCAAAAAACAGAAAAAGAAAAAGAAAATATTTGGTGGCCAGGAGACAATATTAACAATTATATGAGATAATTATAGTCATAATTCTGTTAGACACCATATTGGCAATATCTTGTTGTAAACTTAAGTCACTGATCCCGTATCAAGGAGCTGACACTAAGAGAAGGCTGGAATACAACATGGAGAAGGTACAGGCACTGGAGTGAGTCATACTCTGAAAACCAGTGCTCTAAGTGGAGGATAGGGTTTAAAGTCTGAAGTTGATGCTGAAAATCAACAAGAATATGCAACAAAACCCATCAAACACTACTGAAATAGTAAAGGCCAGGGTCCAGCACAGTGGGTCACACCTATAATCCCAGGACTTTGGGAGGCTGAGGCAGAAGGATTGCTTGGAGCCCAGGAGTTGTGTACTAGCCTGGTCAACATAATGAGACTCCATCTCTAGAAAAAAAAATTTTTTAAAATAAATAATTAGCTAGATGTGGTGGCTCGTGCCTATAGTCCCAGCTTCATGGGAGGCTGAGGTGGGAGGACCACTTGACCCCGGGACTTCAAGGCTGTAGTGAGCTGTGCTTGCACCACTGCACTCCAGCCTGGGCAAGAGTGAGACCCTATCTCAAAAACAAAACAAAAAAGAAGGAAAAAAAAATTTTGATGAAAAAGTTAAGACCAGAAACTAGACAGCAGCCAGATGACTACTGTTAATAGAAGGGAAAGCAATTGCACTTGGTCACAAAGCCAGGCATCAAGAAAACATGAATGTCAGAAAGCAGAGTGGGGAAAGTAGTGAGAAGTCCAGGGTAATCAGTAATGAGATGCACAAAAGGGTCTGAGCAAACCAATCAGAATAGAATTAAGGTTCCCACACTCCTGTTTTAAGTCAACAATAGCAGTAGATTTTAATTCAGGAACCTACTTCAGTGTGTTAATAATAGCTTCTTATCTGGATCACTGTTGAGAATTACCCTAAGATCATATCCATGATTGTGAAAGAATGTTTCAGGTGATTAGTTATGTCCCGGAGGCTGTAACAGCCCAATTGTCTCTCATTTGCTATCATTCGTATAAAAGCATGAGCTCTCACTAAGCCTTCAGTCATAGATAGGGTATAGCTCCAAAAATGTTTCTGTCATCTTTTTTTTTTTTTTTTTTTTTTTTTGAGACAGAGTCTCGCTCTGTCGCCCAGGCCGGACTGCGGACTGCAGTGGCGCAATCTCGGCTCACTGCAAGCTCCGCTTCCCGGGTTCACGCCATTCTCCTGCCTCAGCCTCCCGAGTAGCTGGGACTACAGGCGCCCGCCACCGCGCCCGGCTAATTTTTTTGTATTTTTAGTAGAGACAGGGTTTCACCTTGTTAGCCAGGATGGTCTCGATCTCCTGACCTCCTGATCCACCTGCCTCGGCCTCCCAAAGTGCTGGGATTACAGGCGTGAGCCACCGCGCCCGGCCTCTGTCATCTTAAATGTATTAGAATAAGAAGTAGATAAACCTGCTCTGCTCTAGTCAGTACTTCTTTCTTTATTCTGTTCTAGGCCCAAAAATTTTCAATGTAAGGAAAACAGGATGATGAAAGAATTCTTTTCAGTCATAAGAGAGATGAATGAAACTGGGGATGTTTAGAGAAGATAAGACTTAGTGAAAGATAAGAAATTCAAAGTAGGCACGTAAAACAGGCAGTAAGAGATTTGTTACACATGTCTCCAAAGTCCAGAATTAAACCAAAGGCTAGATGCTATGAGGAGACACATCCTGTTTTGTTGTTCTACTTTTTTTTTTTTTTCTTTTTGAAACGGGAGTGTTTTGGTTTTATAGTTGAGTAAGGAAAACCTAGATTAATACCTAATGTGTCTTCATTTTTAAAGCCTGGGCTAGGTGGCCATATAGTCAGAGGGGATTTCTTAATTGTATAGAGAGACTGGGCTAAATAACTTGAAGATCTCTTCCAAACCTGAAATTGTGTGTATCACAGACATTGATGGAAGGCATCTGCATTATTGTATAATGATAGCTTTGACCCCAGAAAGGCCTTACTTAATTTGAATGCTGTTTCACTTCTTAGTAGCTAAATGAACATGGTTAATTTTCTTGAGCCTTCTTTTTATTTATTTATTTTTATTTAGAATTTTTTTATTTTCCTTTGTTGTTTTTTTTTTTGAGAAGGGGTCTTGCTATGTTGCCCAGGCTGGTCTCAAACTCCTGGACTCAAGCAATCCACCTGCCTTGGCCTCCCAAAGTGCTGGGATTATAAGCATGAGCCACCATGCCTGGCCTTCTTGAGTTTTTTTTATTTTTTGTAATTTATTTATTTATTTATTTATTTTTTTTTTTTTTTTTTTTTTTGAGGCAGAGTCTCGCTCTGTCGCCAGACTGGAGTGCAGTGGTGTGATCTCGGCTCACTGCAACCTCCGCCCCCCGGGTTTATGTGATTCTCCTGCCTCAGCCTCCCAAGTAACTGGGACTACAGGCGCATGCCACCAGGCCCGGCTAATTTTTGTATTTTTAGTAGAGACGGGGTTTCACCATGCTGGCCAGGATGGTCTCAATCTCTTGACCTCGTGATCCACCCGCCTCTGCCTCCTAAAATGCTGAGATTACAGGCATGAGCCACCGCACCTGGCCCTTCTTGAGTCTTTGAAGCCTCAGTTTCTTCTCTTCAAAATTAAAGTAATATCTACTTCTTGGTATTTGAGTGTGAATTAAATTATTATGTAAGATACTCAGCACAAAGCCTGGTACATTGTAGATACTCAGTGAACATTCACTTCTGTCCCCTCTCTTCCTCCCTCCAGACCTAAAATTTGTATATACTTCTTTTGAGGCAAAGAGACAATCCCAGGGTGATGTTACCCTACAAGTGGAAGCAAGTATCTAGATAGGGAGATCGAGGGGCTGTAGATAACAGCAGTTTGCAGTTGCAGATATTAATACTATTCTACAATTTGCAGTACAAAATCTGTTTTGTCCTTTATGTAGTGTATAGTGGTATTGCATTCAAAGTAACTTTTTAAAAATAATACATTATATTTGCTTTAATAGTAGTTTAAAATTCTTGTTGAGCATTTAGAGTGTAGAATGGATGACTTTGAATTAAAGTTATATTTTCTTTTAAACTATTTTTAATCATGTTAAATAGGATAATGATATTTTGCTATTTTAAAAAATTTTTATCTGTTAAAAATTCCCACTGAAGTATTTACAAGTGAAATTATCTGAGGCTGGGCACAGTGGTTCACACCCATAATCCCAGCACTTTGGGAGGCTGAGGCGGGCAGATTGCTTGAGGTCAGGAGTTCAAGACCAACCTGGCCAACATGGTGAAACCCTGTCTCTACTAAAAATACAAAAAATTAGCCAGAAGTGGTGGCACACCCTTGTAATCCCAGGTACTCAGGAGGCTGAGGCAGGAGAATCACTTGAACCCAGGAGGGGAAGGTTGCACTGAGCGGAAATCATGCCACTGCACTCCAGCCTGGGTGACAGAGTGAGTCTCCATCTCAAAAAAAAGAAAAAGAAATTATCTGAGATCTGGAATATGTGTTAATATATATCAGGGGGAAAATCTGGTAAGGAAATAGATAAAACAGTGTTGACAAAACAATCCTGGTAGTTCCTCAAACAGTTAAACATAGAGTTACATACAACCCAGCAGCTCTATGCCCAGGTATATAAACAAAAGAAATTGAAACATATCCACACAAAAATTTACACACAAAACTTTTCACTGTTTCAAAATGTGTCAGTGTTTATGAGTGCAACATTATTCATAGTAACCAAAAAGTGGAAATAACCCAGATGTCCTTCAGCTGATGAGTAAACAAAATTTGGTATATCCATGCAGTGGAATATGATTTTGCCATGAAAGGAAGGAAGTACTGATAGATGGTACAACATGGATGAACTTTAAAAACATTATACTAAGTGAAAGAAGCCAGTCACAAAAAAAGCAGACGGTATATGATTCCACTGATGTGAACTGTCTAGAACTGGGAATTCTACAAGGACAAAAAGTAGATTGATTAGTGACAGCTTAGAATTAGAGTGATGGGGGCATGGCAGGATAGGAGGGTATAGTTAAAGCAATCAGAGTTTCTTAGGTTTTGGTTTGTTTTTGTTTTTTGTTTCTTTTGAGATGATGGAAATATTTTAAAATTGACTGGTAATTGTTGCATGTGTCTGTGAATATACTAAAAACCATTGAATTATACACTTCAAATGGATGAACTGTGTGGTATGTGAATTATATCTCAGGAACGCTATTTGAGAAAGAAAATATTGACAAAATGTTGATAATTGAAGTTGCGCAGTGGAAAGTGGGGACTCAGTATTCTATCCCCTCCATTTTTGTGTCATTGAAAATTTCCGTCATAAAATGCTTTATTAAAAAATGCCCGACCAGGCACTGAGGCTCATGCCTGTAATCTCAGCACTTTGGGAGGCTGACACAGGTGGATCACTTGAGGTCAGGAGTTCGAGATCAGACTGGCCAATATGGTGAAACTCCGTGTACACTAAAAATATAAAAATTAGCTGGGCGTGGTGGTGCACACCTGTAGTCTCAGCTACTCTGGAGGCTGAGGCAGGAGAATCATTTGAACCCAGGAGACAGAGGTTGCAGTGAGCTGAGATTGCACCACTGCATTCCAGCCTGGGCAACAAAGCAAGACTCTGTCTCAAAAAAAAAAAAAAAAAAAAAAAATGCCAGGTACAGTGGCTCACGCCTGTAATCCCAGCACTTTGGGAGGCCGAGGCAGGTGGATCACCTGAGACCAGGAGTTCGAGACCAGCCTGGCCAACATGGTGAAAACCCCGTCTCTACTAAAAATACAAAAATTAGCCAGGTATGGTGGTGTGCACCTGTAGTCCCAGCTACTCAGGAGGCTGAGGCAGGAGAATCGCTTGAACTTGGGAGGCAGAGGTTGCAGTGAGCCAAGATCGTGCCACTACACTCCAGCCTGTGTGACAGAGCAAGACTCCATCTCTCCATCTCAAAAAAAAAAAAAAAAAACCTTTTAAATGAAGTTTAAAGCTGGGCATGGTGGCTCACACCTGTAATACCAGCACTTTGGAAGGCCAAGGTGGGTGGATCACCCAAGGTCAGGAGTTTGAGACCAGCCTGGCCAACTTGGTGAAACCCCATCTCTACTGAAAACACAAAAATTAGCCAGGTGTGGTGGCACATGCCTGTAATCCCAGCTACTCAGGAGACTGAGGTAGGAGAATCGTTTGAACCCGGGAGGTGGAGGTTGCAGTGAGCCAAGATCATGCCACTGCACTCCAGCCTGAGTGACAGAGCGAGACTCCATCTCAAATAAATTAATTAATTAATTTTAAATATCCAAAATATATATGTATTTGGTTTAAAACAAGACTGGTTTTTACCTTGTGTTACTTCAAGAGAGATGCACAGAGTTATATGACTTACTAGTCACGATGCGTTGTTACTCCCATATGAAAGCACTTCCATTTACCAGTGGAGCACATAGTTTGCATTATGCTTGTCAAAGCTATTTTCATCAAGAAATGCTATCTATGTGTCTCCTTGCCAACATCTTTGCAGAGTTTACAACTTTCAGCAATTTATTGGCATCAACTATGCAATACTGTTAAGCAGCTGCTGTACAGCTGAGCTGTTTTAATATGCCACCACTTATGCAAATAGTTAATATTAAATGGCCAAGATGCATGCTTTTGGATTCAAAAGAACAGTTTATCTCTCTCATAGAGATTGTTTATGCAGTCGTCATCATCATCATCATCATCTGGAAATTTCACAAGAACATCCTTGCCCTTAACTCTTCAATTTTGAAAAGTAATTATTATACTGCAACATAGTTTTTGTTATTTAGTTTTTAGTTTTAGTCCAAGTTTCAGTTGTATAATCAGATGCAATTCTTCATTTGTTAATGTTAATGAATGGTTCGTTCATTCATATAGTAATGGTAATTTTATTATGTATTTGATATACTAGAATTACAACATGTACTGTTAACTTTCTGCAAGTTAGTATAAAAGCATATCAGATTTTATCAGACTACGTTATAGAATAGTATTGAAACGTTTCAGCTGGCCAGATTTGGTGGCTCACACCTGTAATCCCAGCACTTTGGGAGCCTGAGGCAGGTGGATCACTTGAGCCTAGGAATTCAAGACCAGCCTGGGCAACACACCCCCATCTCAATTTTTTTTTTTTTTTTTTAGATGGAGTCTCGCTCTGTCGCCCAGGCTGGAGTGCAGTGGCACGATCTCGGCTCACTGCAACCTCCACCTCCCGGATTCATGCCATTCTCCTGCCTCAGCCTCCCGAGTAGTTGGGACTACAGGCGCCCGCCACCTCGCCTGGCTAATTTTTTGTGTTTTTAGTAGAGATGGGGTTTCACCATGTTAGCCAGGATGGTCTTGATCTCCTGACCTCGTGATCCACCCACCTTGGCCTCCCAAAGTGCTGGGATTACAGGCGTCAGCCACCGTGCCCAGCCCCCGTCTCAATTTTTTTAAAACTGTCTCAGCTGGGCACAGTGGCTCACACTTTAAATCCCAGAGCTTTGGTAAGCCAAGATGGGAAGATAGCTTAAGCTGGGGAGTTTGAGGCTGCAGTGAGCTACAGTCGCATCACTGCAGTCCAGCCTGGACATAAGAGTGAGACCCTGTCTCAGTCAATCGATCAATCAATGTCTTAAACAAGTGGTAAAAGGAAAAGAGGATTGAGGGAAGGCACTTTTACAGTTTTTGAATTTTACAATGAACAAATAATATTTCTATAAATTTAAAACAGAATTTAAAAAATATTTTGAAAATAACTTTCTAAATTAATGAAGCATCTGCCAGGCCTAGGCTAGAACTGCCAGAATGAAACGAAGCTCTAGATTAGAATACTCTACATTTTGTCATTTTGAGAAGGGAGCTTCCTTTCTGCCTGAGAACCTTAGGGTAAATCCTGCTACACAAATTATCGCATCCACGTACACAGAGATTGTACTCAATGGTGTCATTAAGATGAATAGCCCCACTTTGGGATGCCGAGGCAGGCAGATCACTTGAACTCACAAGTTTGAGACCAGCCTGCGCAACATGGTGAAACCCCATCTCCACAAAAATGAAAGATAAAAAAATAAAAAAATAATTAGCCAGGCATGGTGGTACATGCCTGGAGTTCCAGCTGCCAAGGAGGCTGAGGTGGGACCATTGCTTGAGCCTGGGAGGCAGAGGTGAGCCAAAATCGCACCATTGCACTCCAGCCTGGGTGATAGAGCCAGACCTTGTCTCAGAAAAAATAAAAAAGGCCATAAGGCAGAAAGAAAACATGTGAGCTGGTCCTTTATTCATAAATGGGATCACACAACCAAAAACTATCAGAAACTGGAAGAAAAAGCATAGAAGGAAAAAAATAGCAATAAACAGATAAACTGGGGGAAAAACAAATTCTGGAGCAGAAAAGAACTTCCACATTGTTATAATTAATTTCTTCAGAAAGATTTGGAAAAGTAATATTTCCCTAATATAAAAATCAGTAGGCCAGATGCAGTGGCTCACGCCTGTAATCCCCACATTTTGAGAGGCCAAGGCAAGTGGATTGCTTGAGTCCAGCCTGGGCAACATGGCGAAACCCCATTTATACAAAAAAATACAAAAATAATTAGCCGGGCATGGTTGGTGCATGCCTGTAGACCCAGCTACTCAGGAGGCTAAGGTGGGAGGATCGCTTGAGCCCAGGAGGCGGAGGTTGTAGTAAGCCAAGATTGTGCCACTGCACTCCAGCCTGGGCGACAGAGCAAGACCTGTCTCCAGAAAATAAAAATAAAAATAAAAATAAATTGTGATATTTTGAAGAATTGCGAAAGTCAAAATCATGAAGTAAATAAAGTATAAGTAAAACTGCCAATAGAGGGATATAGGAAAAGTTAAACCCTCCAAAAACTTAGAAAAAGGTAAAAAGATGGAAAGCCAAAGGACATAGAAGATTCTCGCAAGAAAGAAAATACCTACAAGGAAATAAAGAATCAGGATGGCATCCTGGCTAACACAGTGAAACCCTGACTCTACTAAAAATACAAAAAATTAGGTGGGCATGGTGACGGGCGCCTGTAGTCCCAGCTACTCGGGAGGCTGAGGCAGGGGAATGGCGTGAACCCAGGAGGCAGAGCTTGCAGTGAGCCAAGATCACGGCATTGCACTCTAGCCTGGGCGACAGAGCGAGACTCCATTTCAAAAAAAAAAAAAAAAAGAATCAGGATGGCATCAGAGTTTTCAGAAATTTGATTTTAGAAGACAGAGCAGTAATACCATGAAAGCATGTTTCTTTTACAGCACCAGCACCCTCTCAGAACATTAATAAATTGTATGCCATCAAATAACAAACAGAATGAGGGAGGAAGGAGTTCAAGACTAGCCTGGGTAACACAGTCTCTACAAAAAGTTAAAAAGTTAACTGGGGACAGTGGTAGGTGCATGTGGTGCCAGCGGCTCAGGAGGCTAAAGCAGTAGGATCCCTTGAGCCCCAGAGTGAAGGCACTGTGGTGAGCCATATTTGCACCACCGCACTACAGCCTGAGCAACAGAGCAAGAACCTGTCTCAAAAAAAAAAGAAAAAAAAAGGGAGAAAGGGAGGTAGAGGCCGGAGGCGGGGAAGGGAGAGAAAGAGAGGGAAGTGGAAGAAATAGTGGAACTTGCCAAAGTGTACAATAAAAAGAAATTTCAGTCTTAAAAGCAGTCAGTACAGAATTAATCTCAGCAAACAACACGATTAAGAAGCTAGATAATATTAGGTAATAAGGAAAAAGGCGTACATTGTTTCTATCAATGAGAAAACAAAAGGGCAGAAACTCTGAAAAGAGGGGAAAAAAATATTTGTTGGAAAGTTGAAGTACAAATAGGAACCTAAATCAATGGCATGATTTTTGAGCAGTAGATACAGTATAAGAAAAAGAATCCAGTCAAACTTAGTACTTAAAACATTCTTCTTTGAGCATCACAGTTTCCTTTTCTGTAGTCACATTCTCTGCAATAAACAATATTTACAAATAATGAGGCAATGCTGCAAATAAACCCACTGACCAATCAGAAAAATGATAGTTATAGAAGAGGAAAGTAGAATCAAAAGGCAGGGAGATGAGATGCCAAACTCAAATGCAAACAATGAGAGCGGAATCTGAAATACGAGATGAAGCCAATACCCAGAAGCCAGACACAGGATAAGAACCGAACCAGGTTAGAAGCAAAGCAGAGGGCTTCAAAATGATTTCATCTTACCAAAGGATTTCTCTTCGTAGTGACAAAAATGTTTTCTAATTATTGCCTGTTATGTTGGATTGTTTCCTGTTTGCTTTGTCAGTTTGTGAATTGGGATCTCATGAATCATGATCATTTCATTGTAATAGTAGCATCAACTAGGATAGGACAATTTATGTCAAAAAGGTCGGTGTAAGACATATTCAAATACTTTCATGGCTGTGAACACTTAATATAATAAAGAGGTTCTTGCGGACAGGTGCGGTGGCTCACACCTGTAATCCCAGCATTTTGGGAGGCTGAGGTGGGTGAATCATGAGGTCAGGAGTTCAAGACCAGCCTGGCCAAGATGGTGAAACCCCGTCTCTACTAAAAATAACAAAAAATTAGCCGGGCATGGTAGTGGGCACCTGTAATCCCAGCTACTTGGGAGACTGAAGCAGAGAATTGCTTGAACCTGGGAGGCAGAGGTTGCAGTGAGCCGAGATCACACCACTGCACTCCAACCTGGGCGACAGAATGAGACTCCGTCTCAAAAAAAAAAAAAAAAAGTTCTTTCTAATTTTGTTTTCCCTTCAGCATGATCCCACGCCTATCTCCAAGAATACAGCCAGAAAAATACATCATTCATTAAAGAGTAAAACATTAAAACAGTGCGACATGGGTGCATAAATAGACAGACTGTAGAAACAGAGTTTTAAAGTCCATAAATAAATAATATACTTACAGCAGTTTAGTACATTATAAAGATGGCATCAGTGGGGGAAAAAATGGTCTCTTCAGTACATGATGTTGTTATAGGAGAGCCATCTTGAGGGGACAGATGTTGTATTCATATGTTTTACCATAAGCCAGGATAAACTTTAAACCAATCAAAGATCTATATGTTTGAAAAAGAAAAGAGGCTGGGCACAGTGACTCACGCCTGTAATCCCAGCACTTTGGGAGGCCGAGGCGAGTGGATCACGAGGTCAGGACTTCAAGACCAGCCTGGCCAAGATGGTGAAACCCCGTCTCTATTAAAAATACAAAAATTAGCTGAGCGTGGTTGTGGGTGCTTGTAATCCTAGCTACTCTGGAGGCTGAGGCAGAGAATTGCTTGAACCTGGGAGGCGGAGATTGCAGTGAGCCGAGATCTTGCCACTGCACTCCAGCCTGGATGACAGAGCGAGACTCCATCTCAAAAAAAAAAAGAAAAGAAAAACCACAAAAGTAACTTAAGAAAATATAGGAAAAAAACATGGAGAAGACCACAGAAGAAAAGATTGACATATTCTGCTACATCACAATCAAATGTTCTTCATAACAAAAAAAAAAAAGCGGGGGGGGGGGGTCATAAACAAAGTCAAGTAAGAGGTAAACTGGAAAAATTGCCACTCATATTAAAGACAAAGGGCTAATTTCCCTAACATATAAAGAGCTCCTTGAAATGTATAAGAAAATGACCACTCAGTAGAAAAATGGGCCAAGGCAATCAACTGAAAAAAAACCTTCAATATATTAAAAAAAAAAAAAAACTGCTCAACTTCACTGTAAAAGGAATGCAAAATAAACATACACAAACCCTTATCAGACTGGCAAAAATCCTAAAAGGTAACAGAAGCTTACATTTTATCAATTATAAAACTAAAGCTCATTGAACTAGATTAGGCAGCCTAAGTTTAAACAATAATAATGTCAAGAATAGATGTGTCGTTTGCTAATAGCTTTATACTAAAATAGTACCACTACATGTGCTTAGCCAGGTGCAGTGGCTCATGCCTATAATCCCAGCACTTTGGGAGGCCAAGGCTGGAGAATCACTTAAGGCCAGGAGTGAGAGACCAGCCTGAGCAACATAGTAAGACCTCATCTCTACCAAAAATTTAAAAATTAGCTGGGTGTGGGGGAATGCCCCTGTAGTCCTAGCTACTCAGGAGGCTGAGGCGGTAGGATGGTTTGAATGAACTGTGATCACACCATAGCACTCTAGCATGGACAACAGAGCAAGACCCTGTCTCTAAAAAAAAAAAAATTGAAGTGGAATTTTCTTGGTTCAAATTTACCATCGATATAAGTTGGATCATTATATAAGCCAAACATAATAAAATTGAAAATGTGTTCTAAATGTTATTTGGGTACCCACTGTAGCTGTATTATCCTAATAAGAATTTTACAGAATTTTGCTGATCTTAAAGTGTTCTTTGCCTGGATTTCAGAAACTGCTAATATTTTTTGTACAGTCACATTAACGAAAGTGGTACTGTGACAACACCCCAAACTGGGGTGATCTTAGGATAAAGCAAAGATGTGAATTTCCCTTCTAATCTCCTGACCACTAAACCCCCCTTTACCTTATTTATCTGTAGAATAGTGCTAGATTGTTTTGGAGGGGATTTTTGCTCTTATTTTATCTTCATGCCAAAGATAGAAAAGTTGTGGCTAATAAAGAGATGTTCTTTCAGATAGAAAGTTTTTCTTTTCATAGGCTTTCCCTTCTACTTATCTTGGTAAGTAGAACAGGAGCTGAAATCTACCATAACACCATACCCATTTGACATCAAATCAATAATTATATACTTCACCATAGTGGAGCATATAAATGAAACAACATAATCTTGAAAGCAAAAAGAGTCCCCAAATGGCCCAGATAATCATATATCAGATTGGCAATGTCTGCAAGTATATGCATTCTCATGTACATTGGCCAAGCCAGGCCCACTACTGCAGAAAGGAGAAAGGATTCTGACACCATTTCTTCTGACACGTCTCGCAACCCTAAAATCTATTAAGGTTATATGGCTTAAACTCAGCAACACTGCTTTAAAATACTCACTCAAGTTAGATGGTTCTAAATAGAACTAATGACAGCCAGAAGAGAAAGGCCTGTAGGAACTTGCTGTGACACAGAGCTGGTGTCTATAAACAGATTAGTAGAAGAGAGCAGAACATTGTTCTATCACCATAACTTTCGTGTTTTGGCATGAAGATACAATAAGATAATAGGAAAAAATTACCTGTTACATAGCCTACCACTGTTCTGTTCTGATAAATAAAGATTAAGAAGAGTTTAGCCTGTCATCTCTCCATATACTTGTATATGATGTATCAATTTAGTAATTAATCATAAATACCCACTAGTGTTATGTACTAAAGATTTGTCTATGGATATGAAAGACAAATACACTTGGGAGCAAGAACGGGTGAAATTTTTGATCTCTTCAAAAAGTTCATCACAATTAATTCTTAGTTCAAAGGGCAACTGAAGCCAACCCCACTTATCATTTGTAAAAGGATAAGGGATAATACAGCTAAAGAAATCCTGAATCTGTATTAAACTTACTGTTTAACTGCTGACTAGTAGCCAAGATTGGATTCTTTTTCTCTACCATCTTTATATAAGAATTCAAAGGAAATGCGACAGTTTAAAAGAAGAAGAGAAAAAGTTAAATGCTTAAATAGTCTACTCAGCGAATATATGTGGAGCATCTACAGTGGAAGGTAGCTATGCCAGTGGTTCCCAAATTTGTCTGTCTATTAGAATCACTTGAGATCTTCAAAAATTCCAAAATACAAAAAAATTAGCTGGGCGTGGTGGCATGCGCCTGTAGTCCCAGCTACTCAGGCACTGAGGCAGGAGGATGGCTTGAGCCCAGGAGGTAGAGGCTGCAGTGAGCCGAGACCACACCACTGCACTCCAGCCTGGGTGACAGTGAGATCCTATCTAAAAAAAAAAAAAAATTCCAAAGCCCAGGCCACACCACATCAATTATCTCACAGTCTCTGGGGTTGGGACACAGTCATCACTGGCAATATTTGAAGCTCCACAGGTGATTTCAGTGTGCAGAAAAACGTGGAAACCACTAGACTATAGAATGTTGTAATTGTCAGTTATATTAAATGAGTATTAATGATCAAAAGATTCATGTGCATGATTCTAATTACTATTTTATTTTCACAACTTATGTGTGTAGTATAATTGTTTCTTCTACTTAAAAATATTTTAATATTAATCATTATTAGTCTGCTTGCTAAAATCACTCTTGCTACTTTCTTCTGTTTTCATATATCAACAGGAATTGGCAGCAATGAAACAGATTCTCGTTAAGATGCATAGTAAACATTCTGAGAACAGCTTACTTCTCACTAAAACAGAACCAAAACATGTGACAGAAAATCAGAAATCAAAGACTTTGAATGTGCCTAAAGAGCATGAAGACAATATATTTACACCTAAACCAACACTCTTTGTAAGTACAATTTTTAAAACTCATAATTTTAATATTCCTGATTCTTACTAAATGTATTTTAGTTAATTTTTTCCTTTTACATTTATGAAATGAGTAGATTCCACAAATATGTTTCATGAAAAGACCTTGAAGGATTTGCATTAATCCATTTTCTAAATGTGTATATTACCTATCTTATAGATGATAGTATATTTTACTGTAATTCCTCATAAAGTGTGAAATCAATTAACATAAACTGAAATGCATTGTTAGCTAAAAATATATGTGCACAGAAATTAAAGAAAAAGAAATAAGAAAAATTTGGATTAAAAGGTAAAATACCAAAAATATGTACAGTTATTATGTGCCAATTTTTAAAAATAGAGAAAATAAATTAGGAAATATTGAAAACTATATATTTTAACAAATAATAAGAATCAAGATTAAAAGGCAAGAGAATTAAAATAGGAGTAACATTATTAAATATTCCATTTTACTTCAAATGGTTTCTCAATCATGCTTTCATTTCTCAGGAGAAACATGATTTTTATCTGCTAAACATAGAGACTCAAAACCAGAAAGATTTTCTCTGATATTCTGATTCAGTGAGTCCCCAGAATCTTAATTTTTTTAACTCCCAAGTTGAATATAATAGTCAAATATGAGAACTTCTGATCTCAGTCATTTTATTATACATGCAGATAATGCTACTGAAGATTAATAGGATGAAAGAGATTTTTTAGTGATTATATAATTCAACCTCCCTTTTTAAAAAAATGAAAGTTGCAGTTTAGATCAAATAAGAGACAATTGGGCAGACATGGTGGCTCACACCTCTAATCCCAGCACTTTGGGAGGCCAAAGTGGGAGGATCACCTGAGGTCAGGAGTTCAAGACCAGGCTGGCCAACATGGTGAAACCCTATCCCTACTAAAAATACAAAAATTACCCGGGTGTGGTGGCACACGCCTGTAGTCCCAGCTACTTGGGAGACAGGCAGGAGAATTGTCGGTGCGATGGCACCACTGCATTCACCACCTTGGCGAGAGAGTGAAACTCTGCCTCAAAAAATAAAATAAAATAAAATAAGGGACAATTATTTTAAGGATACGTGTGGCAGTAATGTAGACTAAGCTGACAGGCGGGAGAAAACAGGATGGCTCAGTTGACTAGCCTGGACACAAGGCGGCTGAGTCCATGCATCTTTTCCTCTGTAGTACATCAGCTTCTCTTTGTTTCTCCTCTAGTTTCTGCTTACTCATGTTTTCCACTTCCTCATTAACTTGCTCACAGCCCTTTGTCTTGAAACAGGTTTCTGTACATCCTTTCTGCATCTACTCTCTTATAATGTAGTTCTCCCTGTATTTTCCAAGACTAACAATCTAATTGGCATAGCTAATTCTTGTTGGGTGATACCCCTTTTTGGCAAGACTTCCTAAGCTTATTACCCAGCCTACAGAATGGCTGCCCTTAATGGTGAGCAGGAGTCACACAGTTCCAAATACAGCTGCCGAGGACTGTTTATTAAGGGCTATGGCTAGGCAGGTTTTGCTCAGAGAGTGGGCAGAGATTGTGGCAGACACTATGCTGTGTCTATTATAATCTATAGGAAGAAAGCAGATTGAATACATACACATTAATGGGAAATAGGGTCAGATGAAAACCACAAGATACAGCTGAATACTTAAAGCCTGTCAGCACTCTCTGATCTGCCTTTCTGATCCTACTCTGCTCCAGGCAGTGGCACTATTCCTTCTGACCCTGACCTTCTGCATTTCTAGCTTTAGCTTGGTAACCTGATTGTGATTTTCTGGAATACCGGCTATAATCAATCAGTACATGAGTAACAATAAGATTTCCCCAGTACCTCCAGATAAGGTTATGCAGTGATGATAAAATTAAGAAGATTCAATATTAGTTGGGTAGTTCTTCCTTCCTTATTTTTGCTTATCTGGATTTTCTATTTTATTCTACAATAAAATTCTTTTTAAATAATAATAAGGGAAATTTTTTTCAAAAGAGGTACAAGCTCAGCTATGTCCTAATGAAAACTGAGAGGTAATACTACAAACAAGTCAAATCAAAGACTGTAAGCTAATGCAGAATTAGTAAGGTGAACCGACTAGATAACCTGGGGCAAATCATTAAATGTTCTCAATGTGTTCTTATCTATAAAATTAAGTGGGAGGTTATAATGAAATGAGTTCTGGACTCCTTTTATTCTAGCATGCTATGATTCTCTTCAGGCATCATAATTTTTAGTTATTCTTTTGAATATTTTCAATTTTCCATAAGAATACTTTTTTATATTTTCTCTGAACTTGTTGATAAGGAATTTACCACGCTAATATTTGAAGTAAGAGCTAATCATTTTATAATCTCATGGTTTTATACCTAAAATGAAAACATTTCTAAATCCAGATCCTTTGGCTGAAAGTATTTGCTATAGGTATTTTCCCCTGATAGTAAATTCAGTGATGGATGGGTGGATGGATGAGCGTTTCCATATGCATTGACAATATGAGGCGAGCCACACAAAACTACTGTTAACTGGGTAATGGAGTGGGAGCAGTGCTGTGACGCAGAGGAGGAGAAATAAGAGCTTGACTTTTTTTTTTTTTTTTTTGACACTTAGGTCTTCTTCTGAAGACTTTTTTTTTTTTTGGAGATGGAGTCTCTCACTCTGTCGCCCAGGCTGGAGTGCAGTGGCGTGATCTCAGCTTACTGCAACCTCTGCCTCCCAGGTTCAAGTGATTCTCCTGCCTCATCCTCCTGAGTAGCTGGGATTACAGGCATGTGCCACAACGCCCAGCTGATTTTTGTATTTTCAGTAGAGGCAAGGTTTCACCATGTTGGTCAGGCTGGTCTCAAACTCCTGACCTCGTGATCTGCCCACCTCGGCTTCCCAAAGTGTTGGGATTACAGGCGTGAGCCACAGCACCTGACAAGACTTTTTTTAATGTGCTTTTTTATATGTATACAAATGTTTTACAGTGTACAAGTGATATTTACATCTGAAGGCAACCTCAAAATTCCCTTTTTTAGAAAAGCTCTGGCCTTTGAAATGACATATGTGACAGAGTCATTGTTCAGGCACTTAGTGTACCAACAAAAACTAATTGAACCACAGAATGTAAGTGCCTTAAGGACAGAAACTGTATTCCTTTTGTTTTGCATAGCATCTGAACAAAGCAGATACTCAATAAATATTTGCTGAAGAGAAAAAAAGGAGTTATTTGTCTCCCCAGTTTAGTTATGTTCTTAGCTGTTAAAACTCTAAACTGGGTGGGGAACTTTAATGTTAAAGTAAACTACAGGGAGAATGAAAGCTTCACCTCCCATGACTCTAGTTAGTGCTACTTCTGCAACAGGCAACTTAAGTCTTCTTTATTCAGAAACACCCAGTTCATTCCCACTAATCACCTACTTTCACTCTTAAGGTAGCTTTTTGCTGTGCTATCCCTTTTTTCCCAGCCTCACTTATCTCTTTCTTAGAAAAACCTAGAGCTATTCTAATCTGATTTAGAACAACTTTCCTCTTTCCTTCCTGAGCAGTATGGGACTCTTTTGCTGCTTTTCTGCTGCCATCCTATTCGAAAATAGAATTTATACTCAGGATTCACATCATTGTCATTATTTTCTCAATACCTTATTAAAAATGCAGATACTAGCAACTCTACTTTTAGTCTTTTCACCAAGTAGATTGTAAGCATTAAAACAAAAAAGAGCTTGGGCGCAGTGGCTCACACCTGTAATCCCAGCACTTTGAGAGGCCGAGGCAGACGGATCACCTGAGGTAAGGAGTTCGAGACCAGCCTGGCCAACATACTGAAATCCCGTCTCTACTAAAAATACCAAAATTATTCAGGTGTGGTGGTGCATGCCTGTAGTCCCAGCTACCTGGGAGGCTGAGGCAGGAGAATCACTTGGACCTGGGAGGTGGAGGTTGCATGAGCCAAGATCATGCCTCCACACTCCAGCCTGGACGACACAGCAAGACTCTGGTCTCAAAAAAAAAAAAAAAAAAAAAAAAGCCTTAGGCTCTAAGTATGGTAGCAAACAATACGATTGTGCACCTCCAGTGTATAGTGTGTGAAGTGTCTGATTTTTGGTGAGTTTACGACGTAGTTCAGGCCTTGACTTACATTTGTTATCTCATTGGCTAGCATATGTTGTATAGATAGATTAAGTTTATATAATTGATACATAAGTGGTTATATGAACGACATGATTCCCTAGAAGAGCTTTGGAAAGCTATATGTCATCTGGAAAGAAAAAAAAATTTTTTTTTTTTTTGAGACAGAGTCTCACGCTGTCGCCCAAGCTAGAGGGCAGTGGCATAGTCTTGGCTCACTGCAACCTCCGCCTCCTGGGTTCAAGCAGTTCTCTTGCCTCAGCCTCCTGAGCAGTTGGGATTACAGGCACATGCCACCATGCCCCGCTAATTTTTTGTATTTTTTTGTAGAGACGGGGTTTCACCATGTTGGCCAGGCTGGTCTCCAAACTCCTGACCTCAGATGATTCACCCACCTTGGCCTCCCAAAGTGCTGGGATTACAGGTGTGAGCCACCGCACCTGGCCTGGAAGGAAAATTAGTGTAGTCAATTCAAGAAGCATTTACTGACTATATGCAAGAGCCTGTGATGATCATTAAGACAGCATCAGCATTAAAACTGCTGCTCCTATAGGATCAAGCTTAGTAAACAATAATATAAGGCAAAATCAGTTAGCCTACTTTTTTTGTTTTATTTTTGAGACACGGTCTTGCTCTGTCACCTAGGCTGGAGTGCAGTGGCATGAACACGGCTCACTGCAGCCTCAATCTCCCAGGCTCAAGTGATCCTCCCAACTCAGCCTCCCAAATAGCTGAGACCACATGTGCACACCACCACACCCAGCTATTTTTCTTTATTTTTTGTAGAGACAGGGTCTCACTGCATTGCTCAGGCTGGTCTTGAACTCCTGGGCTCAAGCAATCCTCCCACCATGGCTATAATCTCAAAGTGCTGGGATTATAGTCATCAGCCACTGCACCTGGCCTGGGTATCCTACTTTAAAGGAAATACAAATTGCTATGAAAATTCAGAGAAAGAATAGACACTGTGGTTTTGGAGGACTCTAGGTTGCCTTGTCAGAAAGGAAGTATTTGAGCTTGGCTTTAAAGAATGCATGGATTTTGACAAGTGAAGATGAGCATTATTTAGAAATTCCAAGAGCAAAGAAAATATGATATTGGCCAGGCGCGGTGGCTCACGCCTGTACTCCCAACACTTTGGGAGGCCGAGGTGGGCGGCTCACCTGAGATCAGGAGTTTGAGACCATCCTGGCCAACATGGTGAAACCTCATCTCTACTAAAAATACAAAAATTAGCCAGGTGTGGTGGCAGGCACCCGTAATCCCAGCTACTCAGGAGGCTGAGACAAGTGAATCACTTGAACCCAGGAGGCGGAGGTTGCATTGAGCCGAGATTGTGCCACTGCACTGCAGCCTGTGTGAAGAGCGAGATTCTGTCTCAAAAAAAAAAAAAAAGAAAGAAAAGAAAATGTGATATTCACAAAATATTTTCTAACTTGTGCTCCTTTTTAATTGTTGAAGAATAGGATGTCTAATATGTATTTTCTATATCTAGACTTTATTCCTTTCTTACTATATTCTTACGTCTGACTTTGGCCAATTCACTATCTGTTAATCCTTTCCCATAGTACAAAAGGGAAATAAAAGTAGATAGGTTATACCTAGTCATATTAATAGAGACAGAAAGTAGAGTGGTGGTTGTCAGGGGCTAGGGGGTATGGGGATTTATTGTTTAACAAGTAGAGAGTTTCAGTCAAGCAAGATGAAAAGAGTTCTATGGATGGACAGTAGTGATAGTTGCATCGTAATGTGAATGTAAGTAATACCACTGATATGTACATTTAAAAATGGTTGGCCGGGCACTGTGGCTCACACCTGTAATCCCAGCACTTTGGGAGGCCAAGGTGTGGGGATCACCTGAGATCAGGAGTTGGAGACCAGCCTGACCAACATGGAGAAATCCCGTCTCTACTAAAAATACAAAAATTAGCCAAGCGTGGTGGTGCATGCCTGTAATCCCGAGGCTGAGGCAGGAGAATCACTTGAACCTGGGAGGGGGAGGTTGTGATGAGCCGAGATCACGTCGTTGCACTCTAGCCTGGGCAACAAGAGTGAAACTCCATCTCAAATAAAAATAAAAATAGTTAATGGGATAAATCTTATGTTATATGTATTTTACCACAATCTTCTTTTTAAAAACTTTTTAAAGCCTGGGCAAAAACTTTTGTGAGATCCTACCTTTACCAAAAAAAAAAAAAAAATTTTTTTTTTAAATTAGCCAGGCATGGTGGTATGTGCCTATGATGCTAAGCTACTTGGGAGTCTGAGGTGGGAGGATCACATGAGCCCAGGAGGTTGGGGCTGCAGTGAGCCATGTTCACGCCACTGCCCTCAACCCTGGATGGCAGAACAAGACCCTGTCTCAAAATAATATATATAAAATGATGAAATATAAAATAAAAAATAAATTTAAATTTTTAATTTAATTTAAAAATTGTAAGTAGGTTACAAAAATAATTTTTCTCATTTATTCATGAGGGAAAGTTTATAATTTTATCAAAAATGGAACGTAGCAGTTATTTATAATATAGTAATATAATGAGTACAATTGGTTGTGTTTAGACAAGTGACAAGGATGCCACACTAGGGTAGCGTCATCACAGAATCATGTCCTAACACTGTGCCTCCCAACATTTTTTATAACACACATGGAAAATTATAATATTTCTATGGCACAACAGGATAACTGAACTTGCTGGTAGATTGAAGGGACTCCAGCCACCCCAGGCACTGGGGACTGAGGAGAACAAAAGCTCCACATACCTGTAACACTTCTGTGTCATATTTGTGTTTAGAAGTTCTGGTTTCACTTTTTTTTTTTTTTTTTTGAAATGGAGTCTTGCTCTGTCGCCCAGGCTGGAGTGCAATGGTGCAAACTCGGCTCACTGCAACCTCCGTCTCCTGGGTTCAAGCAATTCTCCCACCTCAGCCTCCTGAGTAGCTGGGATTACAGGGACGCACCACCATGCCCAATAATTTTTGTGTTTTTAGTAAAGACGGGGTTTCACCATATTGGCCATGCTGGTCTCGAACTCTTGACCTCAAGTGATCTGCCCACCTCGGCCTCCCAAAGTGCTGGGATTACAGGCATAAGCCACCACGCCTGGCCCGGTCTCACTTTTTTATGTTGAATGTAGACTCATCTCACCAAAGTATGACCGGACCTCAAAATATCTAGCTGTTTACATATACATTTTTAAATATTCATTTTTTAATTTCTAGTGTCAGGAACACTAATTGTAACCTCTTCCTGATGTTATTTAATTTAGCTGGTGAGCTAAACTAGAAATCAGGAATTTTTTGGTGAGCATGGAACGAAGCTGACTGATCTCAGACAGCTTCACATTTTGTTAGTGATAAAGCCAGATCAACTGTCTTAAACTCACTTAAGTTGGGCCCTGCCTATGAGGACTTCTCAATATTTACTTATTTGATTTCCAGTTTATATCTTATTTGGAAAACAAAGTAATGATATCTACCAGACATAGATTTTTTTTCCTTAGAGAAGTGGTACTGGTTAAACACTAATAGATTCTTAATTTCTAGCTCTTTTTTTAGATTACAGGAGTAATCTGCCAGGCTTACTATGTCTGCATTTATCAGTCATCATTCTTTCTAATTTTAACTAACCCTCTCAATGGGTTATAATCCCCATGTTATATATTAACGTTTTAGCTGGCTAATTCTGGGTGACACAGAAGTATCTATCTTATCAGTTATTTGTTTCCAAAATCACCTTGTAACATAGTAAATTACTTCTGGTAAGTTTCCAGTTAGTCTTGTCATTTGTTTCTGCAATGGCTTTGTGCTCTCTTTCCTAAATCTGGAATATAGTATACTTTAGGGCCTGTTAATACTCCACTAACAATTTAAGGTTTTTATTAATTTGTATACATATATATATATATAATGTGTATGTAAAATATATATGCATATATAGTTTATATATATCTGTAAAGCACTTCATATTATGAAGCCTATAAGCCTTATATTTAAAATAAGGACCCTACTCAGTTAAATGGTTAATCCCATTAATACCTGAAGCAGAATGTCAAATTTTGTCATATAAAGCACCATCTTATGGATATAAAGGGAAGTAACTTTAATAAAATAGAAAAAAGAAACACTGCTGATCAAAGAGCTAAAAGAATGGAATTATCAAAATAAAAAGCAGTTAATTTTTGTTTTTGTTTTTTTTTTTTTTTGAGATGGAGTCTCACTCTGTCACCCAGGCTGGAGTGCAGTGGCGCAATCTTGGCTGACTGCAGCCTCCACCTCCTGGGTTCAAGCAGTTCTCCAAAAATCAGTTAATTATACATCTGAATTATTTTGCTGTGCCCATTTTAACAATCAGTTACCAAGAGCCAGCAAACTCTATTGTATATTCTTTGTTCGTTTGTTTTTTACCTTTTAAACTAGGCCAGGCGCAGTGGCTCACGCCTGTAATCCCAGCACTTTGGGAGGCCAAGGCGGGCAGATCACCTCAGGTCGAGAGTTCAAGACCAGCCTGACCAACATGGAGAAACCCCATCTCTACTAAAAATACAAAATTAGCCGGGCGTGGTGGCGCACGCCTGTAATCCTAGCTACTCGGGAGGCTGAGGCAGGAGAATCGCTTGAACCCAAGAGGCAGAGGTTGCAGTGAGACAAGATCGCACTGTTGCACTCCAGCCTGGGCAACAAGAGCCAAACTCCATCTCAAAAAAAAAAAAAAAAATGTCAAAACCATTCTTAGCATGCACCCCATACAAGAACAGACCATGGACCATAGTTTACTGATCCATGATCTATCTCAGGAGTTGATAAAAGCTTAGAAACTTCCAGTGTTTGGAACAGGGCTATCACTAATGGCTAGCACATTACTGACTAAAATATCTGGAAATGAAGAATATACATTTTATGAAAATCAGAAATAAACTTTTCAGAAGCAGTATTATCTACTTGGAATCTGTTCAAATTTTGGTAGTGATGAGACTTACATACTAATGTAGGTGAGAAATCACTCTGACATACTCTATGCTAATGTAATTAACAGAGAACCTGAATTTCAGAGAATAATATAACCGAAGGAAAAAGTTCACCAATCGAAGGATTGAAAATATCTTTGAATGATATAAGTAAATTTGAGTTCATACAGCAAAATATGCTGTTTCCATGCCTTACTGGTTATTTACCATTTCCACTCAAAAATCAGGCTGTTGCTTAGAATCACAAGTACTACCCCTGATGCTTGTAAAGGGTGATGTTGCCTGATTAGTTAAAAGCATATTATTGCATTACTGTAGTAGAATTCTCTTTTGTCTTGCATAGTAGAAAGGCTTGAATAGACTCACATGAAACTTTATGCCCAGACTTAAATAGAACTGAAAGGCTTCTGTCACAGCAGACCCAAACATTCATTCATTCATTGAAAAATGTTTATTGAGCACTTACTTTGTGCCAAGTACTATTCCAAGCAGTAGAGATATAAATAATTCCTGCCTCTGTGGATCTTACATTCATGGATAGAGATAGACTATAAACCGACAAACAAAAAAATAAATTGAATAAGATGTGAAAACATGACAAATGCTATGGAGAAAATGTATGAGGTAACTGAGAAGTCCTCGATTTGCCCACTTTGCAAAATTAATAAATGGCTAGAACCTGTGCTTTAACCACTGTACTATACGGTGCTCAAACCACAAAAATCAAAGAAGGCATGACATCGAACACCTACTGCTGGCGAGACACTTCCCTGCATGCTGAAGATACAACATGAGATAAGATAAATGGTATAAACTAAGAGTATAAGAGTCAGCATCTTTAGGAATTGTGTCCCACTGCTAGTTCAGCAGCTTTAGCAAATTGTTCAGTCTCTCACATACAGGCCTGGAGATAACTATTTCAGGACAAGTATGTGGCCCTATGAAGTCATCAGGAACCTAGATTCCCTCTTCCTTTCTCTTCAACCATCCTTAGAGTGTGGCATCTGTTCTTAGAATCACAATATGGTTGCTCTGGCCTCAGCCATCATGTCTGCATTTTAAGCGGGAAGCGAGAAAAAGGGAGGAAAATAGTCTCCCTTTCCAAAGGAGTTTTTCCCTAAGTCCTACCCAACATCTTCAGCTTATATCCCATTGGCCAGAACTTAGTCGTGTGGCCACACCTAGCAGCAAGGAAGGCTGATAAATGTTTTATACAGGGTGAATCTATTGCTTTACTGATAAAATCAGAGTTCTGTTATTAAGAAGGGTGAAATAGATATAGGCTAGACAGCCAGCAACCTCTGCACTTGATCTCAGCCAAAAGGTCGAGGCGTGATCCCAGCAGCCTCTGTAACAGGGTTTGATTCATTTTTATATCCCCAGAACCTAACACAAGGACTGGCACAGAGTAGTTAGTCAAATAAATGCTATTAAACTAATCCCAAGTACAAATAATTGAGTTCATGTTGGAGAGTGTCAAGAAATAGGATTAGATATGTAAGTATGGGCCAGATCCTAAAGGGGCCAGTCTTCTAAGTGAAATGTGGTTAGAACATGACAGTGATGGTGAAGTTCACCCAAAATAACCTGGGAATAAGGAACATATCTTAGTCCTATGGGAACAGACTTTGAAATTAAAATGGTTGTGATAAGACATCTGAAAAGTCACCCTATGAAGTAGCAAGGCAGTTAATCCCCAAGACAAGGTACACTTGACTGTGGCAAATCTGTCTCATTAACAGGAGGAGAAAACATATTAGGGGTGGGAGTAATGGTCTGCAGTGTAGCAGACACAGATAAAAGGAGAGTCAGAAAGAACTGTCTGCCATTGAAATTCTTATACCGTCCTTTTTGAGTATTAAGATTCCTTTTTAATGCCAAAGTTTTTATTTACCTTCTCCCTGTAAACACATAGTAGTAGTAAAAAGTTTAGTATCAGTTCATTGAGGAAATGCAAATGTACAAACCAATTCTGCATCCTTTGGTATAATCCCGAGGATCTGTAGCTTAGTTTATAGCAGTTGCTTTCACCTTTTTGGCCAGGAGTCACAGTTGAGAAAACAATTTACGTTATGACCTAGTAATGATCACACAGTTTCTCAAAACAGAACTTACCCCCACTATGGCCAATACTCTAATATTTTCTATGCTAGTTTTTTTTTTTTTTTTTTTCTAAATTCTGTTCTTTTACCTACTAGAGTTCATTACCCGTGGGTTGGGACCTGCAATTTAAAGAACAATGGTGGCCGGGTGCTGTGGCTCACACCTGTAATCCTAGCACTTTGGGAGGCCGAGGCAGGCGAATCACCTGAGGTCAGGAGTTCCAGACCAGCCTGGCTAACATGGTGAAACCCCATCTCTATTAAAAATACAAAAATTAGCCAGGGGTGGTGGTGCATGCCTGTAGTCCCAGCTACTCGGGAGGCTGAGGCAGGAGAATTGCTTGAACCTGGGAGGCGGAGGTTGCAGTGGGCCGAGATTGCGTGACTGCACTCCAGCCTGGGCAACGGAATGAGACTTCATCTGAAAATAAATAAATAAATAAAGAACAATGGCATACATGTTCTTCTATGACCAAGAATAGTGACAGCCCTAGACTTTTAGCTGGCTCACCTTTCCCAGTCACCCAAATCTATCTGATTGTATAAGAATCATGCAATTCCCTAGTTTTACTCTGACTTTTCCTTATCTTAACAACAAATAAAAAGCTGAGCTGGAAAATCATTAACTTTTCTTTTTTTTTTTTTTTTTTTTTTTTTTTTTTGAGACAGAGTTTTTCACTCTTTGTTGTCCAGGGTGGAGTGCAATGGTGTGATCTCAGCTCACTGCAACCTCCACCTCCCAGGTTCAAGCGATTCTCCTGCCTCAGCCTCCCAAGTAGATGGGATTACAGGTGCCTGCCACCACACCCGGCTAATTTTTGTATTTTTAGTAGAGAAGGGTTTCACCATGTTGGCCAGGCTGGTCTCGAACTCCTGACCTCAGGTGATCCCCCCCACCTTGGCCTCCCAAAGTGCTGGGATTACAGGCGTGAGCCACCACACCCAGCCAACTTTTCTTAAATACATAAGAGAAGTGAGGTCACAAAGCAAACTGCTGCCCCCAAAATTGGACAGATAGGCCAATACAGAGAATGATGATGTATCAGAGCAAAAAATCCCATGGATGGGAACCAGTGCTGGGGTAGGAAAACCTGAATGTAACTGCTAGAAGTTAGGTATGGACAAGTCTGAAAGTTAAAAACTCCAGTCATAGAAGGAACCCCCACACTCTTGTGAATTTTAACTTTAGAAGCTTGACCTAGTTCTTACAGTAAATATTGGGAGAAAAATCCCCTTCCGTTTCCAGCAGTGGGAGGGAAAAAAGAACATTTTGAAATATGTTAGAGAACTCAGTTCTCAACAAGGTCTCCCTTCAGGAGAAGCTATTTTAACTAGAAGCTACCCTGCTGGGGCTTTATCAAAGCCTAACTGACCTGGGAAAAACTCAATACCCAATCCAGCCCACCTAGCCATCATGGCCCACCTAAGAAGGGAAAAAAAACTGAGAAACGTGTGTAAAGTTCATATTCCAGAGGCACACTCTAACTGAAAGACTGAGACCTAATCATAGGACCATAGGATGACTTCCCTACCCCCACACCTTACCACCACATTACCAAAGGCCCATTTACGGCAGTTTCTTTTTCCCAGTACAGTATGTCCAGTTATCAGGAAAAACTTAACCAGGTAGACTAAAAACCAAAAAACACAGTTTGAAGAGACAGTGCAAGCATCAGAACCAGAGTCAATTGTGCCATAAATGTTGGAATTAACAGACAGAGAACCTAAAACAACTATGATTAGTATGCCAAGGGCTGCAACAGATAAAGTAGACAGCTTGCAAGAACAGATGGGCACTGTGAGCAGAAAGATGAAAATCCTAAGAAAGAACCCCCCCAAAAAGGAGAAATACTAGAGATCAAAACTGCTTATAACAGAAACGACAAATGCTGGCCGGGTGCAGTGGCTCACACCTGTAATCCCAATGCTTTGGGAGGCCGAGGCGAGCAGATCACCTGAGATCAGGAGGTCGAGACCAGCCTGACCAACATGGTGAAACCCCATCTCTACTAAAAGTACAAAAACTAGCTGGGTGTAGTGGCAGGCACCTGTAATCCCAGCTACTTGGGAGGCTGAGGCAGGAGAGTTGCTTGAACCTGGGAGGCCAAGGTTGCAGTGAGCCGAGATTGTGCCACTGCACTGCAGCCTGGACAACAAAGTGAGACTCTGTCTCAGAAAAAAAAATAAATGACAAATGCATTTGATAACCTGATTAGTACAGTGGACATTGCTGAAGAAAGAATCTCTAACCTTGAGAATATTTCAGGCCAGGCACAGTGGTTCATGCCTATAATCCCAGCACTTTGGGAGTGTGAGAGGATCACTTGAACCCAGGAGTTCGAGTTCCAGACCAACCTTGGCAACATAAGAGACCCTGTCTACACACACACACACACCAAAAAAAACAAAAAAAAACAAAAAAAACACTTAGCCAGGCACTGTGGTGCACACCTGTGGTCCCAGCAACTCGAAGAGCTGAAGTGGGAGGATCGCTTGAGCCCAGAAGGTCAAGGCTGCAGTGAGCCATGATCATGCCACTGCACTGTAGTCTAGGCAACAGAGCAAGACCCTGTCTCCACCAATAATAATAATAATAATAATAATAAGGGTATTGTAACAGAAACCTCTAAAAAAGAGAATATCCAAGGACTAAAGGATGACTACAAAAGCTATAGCATATATTTAATGAGAATATTAGAAAGAGAAGTAAGAAAGGAAGAGAAGAAATATTTGAAACAATAATGACAGAATTTCCCCCAAACTAATGTCAGACACCAAATATCCAAGGACTAAAGGATGACTACAAAAGCTATAGCATATATTTAATGAAAATATTAGAAGGGCCGGGCGCGGTGGCTCACGCCTGTAATCCCAGCACTTTGGGAGGCCGAGGCGGGCGGATCACGAGGTCAGGAGATCGAGACCATCCTGGCTAACACGGTGAAACCCCGTCTCTACTAAAAATACAAAAAATTAGCCGGGCGTGGTGGCGGGCACCTGTAGTCCCAGCTACTCGGGAGGCTGAGGCAGGAGAATGGCGTGAACCCGGGAGGCGGAGCTTGCAGTGAGCCGAGATCGCGCCACTGCACTCCAGCCTGGGCGACAGAGCGAGACTCTGTCTCAAAAAAAAAAAAAAAAAAAAAAAAAAGAAAATATTAGAAGGAGATGGAAGAAAGAAAGGAAGAGAAGAAATATTTGAAACGGTGACAGAATTTCCCCCAAACTAATGTTAGACACCAAACCACAGACCCAGAGAAAGATAAATGCAAAAAGAAAAAAACAAAAAACGAAAAACTATACTTAGGCATATCATTTGCATATCATTTTCAAACTACAGAAAATTGAGATAAAGACAAAATCCTAGCCTGGGCAACATGGCAAAACCCCATCTCTATAAAAAATATAAAAATTAGCTGAGAGTGATGGCATGCACCCATATTCCCAGGTACTCGGAAGGCTGAGGCAGGACTATCACTTGAGCCCGAGAGGTTGAGGCTACAGTTAGCCATGATCATACCACTCCAGCCTGGGTAACAGAGCAAGAGCCTATCTCAAAAAAAAAAAAAAAAAAAAAAGAAAAAGAAAAAATCCTGAAAGAAGCCCGAGGAAAATAACACCTTACCTATAGAGAAGCAAAGGTAAGGATTACATCTGACTTCTCAGAAACAATGCAAGCAAGGAAAGAGTGGAGTGAAACATTTAACGTTATGAAAGAACAAAACCACCAACCTAAAATTCTGTACCCTGCAAAATTATTCTTTTCAGAAGTGAAAAAACAAAAATTGAAGGAATTTATTCCATAACTTTTCAAAACAGAAAGCACTAGGCCCAGATGGGTTCACTGTTGAATCCCTTCCCTTCCCTTCCCTTCCCTCCCCTCCCCTCCACTCCCCTCTCCTCCCCTCCCCCTTTTTCCTCCCTAGTAGCTGGGACTACAGGCGCATGCCACCATGCCCAGCTAATTTGTGTATTGTTTGTAGAGATGGAGTTTTGCCATGTTGCACAGACTGGTCTTGAACTCCTGAACTCAAGTGATCTGCCTGCCTTGGCCTCCCGGTGTGAGCCACAGCACCCAGCTAAAATTGTACCTATTCTCTACAATCTCTTTCATTAGATAGAAGCAGAGAGAATACTTCCCAGCTCATTTTGCAAGGCCAGCATTGCCCTAATTCCAAAATCAAAGATATTAGAGGAAAACAAAACTACAGACCAATATCTCTCATGAATGTAGATGCAAAAATCTATGAGGATTTCTAGGGCAGTGAAAATATTATGTGATACTATATATTATTATGATACTATAATGGTGGATGCCTGTCTATAGACATTTGTCCAAACCCATAAAATGCATAGTACCAAGAGTGAACCCAAATGTAAACTGTGGACCTAGGGTGATAATATGTCAGTGTAGGTTCATCAGTGGTAACAAATGTACCATTGTGCTAAGGGATATTAATAATGGAAGAGTCTGTGCATGTGTGGAGCCGGAGAGTATATGGGATATCTCTGTACCTTCCTCTCAATTGTTTTTTAAGACAGTCTTGCTCTGTTGTCCAGGCTTGAGTGTAGTGGCATGATCACAGCTCACTTCAGCCGCCTTGACCTCCTGGGCCCAAGTGATTTTTTTTTACATGATGTCTTGCTCTGTCACTCAGACTGGAGTGCAATACCACAATCTCAGCTCACTGCAACCTCCACCTCCCAGGTTCAATTCTCCTGTCTCAGCCTCCCGAGTAGCTTGGATTACAGGTGTGCACTACCATGCCTGGCTAATTTTTTGTATTTTTAGTAGAAACAGGGTTTCACCATGTTGGCCAGGCTGATCTCAAACTCCTGACCTCAAGTGATCCACTGTCCTTGGCCTCCCAAAGTACTGGTATTACAGGCATGGGCCACCGCGCCCATCGTCAAGTGATCTTCTCACCTCCATCTCCCGTGTTAACTGAGACTACAGGTGCATGCCACCATGCCTGGCTAACTTGTTTTTTCTTTTCGTGGAGATGGGGTCTCACTATGTTGCCCAGGCTAGTCTCGAACTCCTGGGCTCAAGCAGTCCTCCCACCTCAACCTCCCAAAGTCCTGGGATTACAGGCATGAGCCACCGCGCCCAGCCAAAATAGGAACTTTGACTGGAATCAGTGAAGTTCTGAATGTTTTATTCTGTAATTCACCTCCCCTGCCTTTTTCTTTCTATTCTGTACAGCCTGTCGCCTTTTAGGCTGAAATGATTGAGTAATAAACCCAAGAAGTACTCTGGTAAATACTTAGAAATTCATAAGATCTAAAACACAATAATTTGGATACAGTAATTATTTAATAAATATCTATTGAGTGAATGAATATCTATTATCTATATAGATGAGACAACTGAAAAGAAGTCATGTCCTTGATTTTTTTATAATTCTCTTTGAAAATAAAATCAATTCGTAAAATAATTGCATCCCCAGAAAATCTTAAGTATAGGCTTTGAGCAAGAAAACACAGTTTTTTCTATCATATACCTACCAGGTGGGAGATTATTTATGGCAAAAGACAAAGTCTTCGCCCTTAAGTATCCTTTCTGAATTAAGAAAAGCAATTTTTTAGTATAGCTTACATAAAAAAACCTCAATGTATATAGTTCTCTGAGTTGCCTCTCTTGTCCTCCTTGTAAGCATTTTATTGGATTTTCTTTTTCTTTTTTTAAACAGACTAAAAAAGAAGCACCTGAGTGGTCTAAGAAACAAAAGATGAAGACCTAGTGTTTTGGATGGGAAGCACCTGTAGACCATTATATACTCCTGAAGTTCTTTTTCTGATGGAAAACAAAATTCAGCTTAATCGTGTACTCAGCATTTTTTAAATAACAATGTTTATTTGAACTAATATTAAATTAACAAATTCAGTGTAATCAAAATGTGTAAAGAACAATCAATATACTTTATTTTTTTTTCTATTTTATAAAATAAATATATATGCTATGCTTTAAATTTTGGAGCTTTCATAAATGTTCAATGCATTTTAAGTGTGTGGCTTATAAATATTTTGGTATTTTTCTATACTACGTAAATTCTGAGTTTAAATGTCATACACAAATACTAAGACACTTTGCATTTTTAAAAATTAAGAATCATTTGTGAAGTCCACTACGAGGTACTTCAAAAGCCCAGTAATGGTGGTCAGATACCATGTAGATGGATACAGATTGTTGACTCTTTTGAAGTTGTTTTTTTCTTATATTTTATATTACCATTAACCAATAAAATCTGGCAGAAAGTCTGCTATTCCATTGGTAAAGTGAAAATTTGGTGGAAAGTCTGTTGCTACATCAGTCATAACATTGTTGGACCAGATGCAATATGGATCAGATTTCTAGTCAGAAAAAAAATCAATAGGATTTTCTTTTGTCATAAAATATGCTCCATTTCTCATTGAAGTTGTATACTTTAAAAGAACGGAAGGAGGCAAGAGAGAGGAAAAAAGGAAAGAAATATATATATACACACACACATATATATGTATGTCCAGGTTTTTCAACCACTATTGACATTTTGTTTGTTTGTTTTTTTGAGACGGAGTCTTGCTTTGTTGCCCAGGCTGGAGTGCAGTGGCGTAATCTCTGCTCACTGCAGCCTCCGCCTTCCAGGTTCAGACAGTTCTTCTGTCTCAGCCTCCCGAGTAGCTGGGATTACAGGCACCCGCCACCACGCCCAGCTGATTTTTGTATTTTTAGTAGAGACAGGGTTTCACCATGTTGGCCAGGCTGGTCTCGAACTCCTGACCTCAGGTGATCCACCTGCCTCGGCCTCCCAAAGTGCTGGAATTACAGGCATGAGCCACCACACCCTGCCCACTATTGACATTTTGGGCTGGATAATTCTTTCTTAAGGGTGGACATAGGGTAAATCCTATGCATGTCATAATATATACCAGCATCCCTGGCCTTCAGCACTAGCTACCAGTTACACCCCCACCGCAACCCTAGTTTTTTGGTTTTTGGGTTTTTTTTCTTTTAGAGACAGAGTCTCTCTATGTTGCTCAAGCTGGTCTTGAACTCTGGGCTCAAGCAGTCCTCCCTCCTCAGCTTCTCAAAAGTGCTGGGATGACAGGCGTGAGCCACCTCACCTGGTCCCACCCCCAGTTTTAACAAGCCAAAAATGTCCTGGATGAAGACTAGGGTTCCTTCTACCTCTTGGCCATTGTGAATTGTCTTACTTTTTAACCCTTACCTCATCTTCTCCTGGTCATGGATTTTCTATTTATCTATCTGTTTATCTATCTATCTATCTATCTATCTATCTATCTATCTATCTATCTAGAAACAGGGTCTTGCACTGTCACCCAGGCTGGAGTGCAGTGGCATGATCATAGCTCAATGCAGCCTCAAACTCCTGGGCAAAAGGGATCCTCCCACCTTAGCCTCCCAAATAGCTGGAACTACAGGTGCATACCACTACACCTGGCTAGTTTCTTTTAAACTTTTTTAGAGACAGGGGTCTCAGTATGTTGGTCAGGCTGGGCTCAAGTGATTTTCCCACCTCAGCCTCCCCAGTAGCTGAGATTACAGGTGTGAGTCACCACACCTGGCTCTTACTTAAAAATAATAAAAACAAAAATTAATCATAACATTATTTTTTCTTGATAAATGTTTTATGAAATGTTGCCCAAATGCAAGTGTAATAGCCACCATTATCAAGCTCATTCTGTCAGCCAGTTGCTGTGTTACATGCTTTCTACTCTTTATTTAATCTTCACAGTAACTCTGTCAAGTAAGCATTATCTTCATTTTTAAAATGAAAAAAACCGAGACTCAGTAAGGGTAACTAAATGGCCCAAGATCACACACACGATAAATAGAAGTGGATTTGAACCAAGTTGCTACGCTCTTTCCAGTACACGACACTGCTTCTCATTGCTTGCTTCCTATCCCTGGCTCCCAAGCTCACTTCAATAGCAAGAAATGCAGGGGAAATTTTTAATTTTTTTTAGATATGGTCTCACTTTGTTGCCCAGTCTAGTATCAAACTACTGGCCTTGAGCAATCCTCCCACTTCAGCCTCCAGAGTGAGTAGCTGGGATTGGAGGCGCAAGCCACCCTCCCAGCGAAAATTTTGTTCTATCACCTTTTCTTTGTGGGTAGGGGGGCTATGGGACTTAGCATAGTTGCATTGTTTTTGCTCAAGATAAGTTCATGGTTCTGAAACTTTGTTTTTTTGTTTGTTTGTTTTTTTGTTTTTTTTTTTTTGCAGAAGCTTAGCATTCCCATACTCGTAGTTGAACCCAGGCCACCTGGGTGAAAAACCAGGAATCCTAAGACCATGTGGGAGATGACTCTAACTCCTAAAGAATTCCATGACTCTTATAATAGTTCTTACCAGGTTAACAGGATATACTCAGCTTTCAGAACCAACTAAATGGCTTGTATTCACTTTATTGATTCATACATTCTTTCATTGAACAAACAAGAAAAATCTAAAATGTGTAAGGCATTCAAACTATGTATTGTTTGTCTTCTTCTCAAAGGGCCCTGAAAAAGAATTCTATGATACCTCAAGCACCAAAGGAAGTTTACTTTCATCATCCTCAGTATAGAAATTTCCAAAAAGAAGTATCAGCTAGTGACCCAAGTACTCCAAATGCACTATATATATAAAGAAGATGCCACTTTTGCTGATTTCAGTAAGTCATACTTGGATAATCATACATCAGGAATGTTAAGGAAGATTCCCACACTTTAGGGAGGTTGAAGTTGTTAATGAACCAGATTCGCTTTTATGCTAAGATCCTGAGACAGAAAGGCTACTCTATCTCAGTCTCTCTCTCTCTCTCTTTCTCTTTCTCTCTCTCTCTCTCTATATATATATATATGTATTTTTTTTTCTTTGAGTTGGAGTCTCGCTCTGTCACCCAGGCTGGAGTGCAGTGGCGCGATCTCGGCTCACTGCAACCTCTGCCTCCTGGGTTCAAGCAATTCTCCTGCCTCAGCCTCCTGAGTTGCTGGGACTACAGGCACGTGCCACCATGTCTCACTAATTTTTTTGTATTTTTAGTAGAGATGGAGTTTCACATTGGCCAGGCCGGTCTCGAACTCCTGACCTCAAGTGATCCACCCACCTCGGCCTCCCAAAGTGCTTGGATTACAGATGTGAGCCACCGTGCCCAGCCAGAAAGGCTACTATATTATATAGCTTTGTGGTAGACTCCTGTGGGCCTCTTAGATTTAACAAAGGTAAGAATTCCCACTTAATTATTTGAAAAAACATTTCACTTTTATTAAAAATACTGCTGTTTGAAAAAGGTGCTTCTCCAGTGGCATTCAGTATTGGTGGCCTGGCATGGTGGGTACTACCCAATGAAGACTGTACTATATATTTATAGGCCATACTTATGAACACGTGTATATATATTTATATAAGATCTACCTATCTAGGATGGAAACTCGGGTGAAAATAAAATAGGGTGAAGGTAAAAAGTACGTAGCACTTCCAGTTGTGAGCCAAGATTGTAACTAGAGAGCAGCCAGGAGCTTCCTGTCAGTAACCATGTTTTCAATAAATACTCTCTCATGTACAACAAATAAATAAAAAGCTGCTGCTCATATCTGAAATGTTCTCAAGTGAAACTGATGTCAGGAATTTATTTTCCCTTGCCTAATCTTACAGGATTAAAATTTGGGTTATTGGCTGGGCGTGGTGGCTCACGCCTGTAATCCCAGCACTTTGGGAGGCTGAGGCGGGTGGATCACGAGGTCAGGAGAGCCAGACCATCCTGGCTAACACAGTGAAACCCCGTCTCTACTAAAAATACAAAAAATTAGCCAGGCATGGTGGCGGGTGCCTGAAGTCCCAGCTACTTGGGAGGCTGAGGCAAGAGAATGGAGTGAACCCAGGAGGCGGATCTTGCAGTGAACCGAGATCGTACCACTGCACTCCAGCCTGGGCAACAGAGTGAGACTCTGTCTCAAAAAAAAAAAAAAAATTGGGGTTATTGCAACTTTCCCGCTGATACTGGATAGGCTAGCAGTGGATATTAGCCTATCCAATATCAGTGAGAAATATATTTTATTTTCATATAACTCATTTTAAAAATTAATAAATACTATAAATGCTCTAAAGAAAGACTTCCTAAGGCTTAGAGGTCACCAACAAAGCTAGCCAACTAGTACCAAGAGTATCCCGTGGTATCATTTACTTTGGTTGATTTACAGAGCTCACAGTCCAGTCCTCAGCTTTACAGGCTCAGAAATTTAATTTTGTTAGTGCACTAAAGATGACACGTCTTTCAGGAGTGTGCCCATATTTACTGGTGCATAGATCATAATGTTTATGTATTACTTCTGAGAGAAAAGTAAAACTGATATACAGAATATGACTTATTGGAATCAGCACACCTGGCATCTTCTCTCCCTATTTCCTCCTAGCTTCTGCCATACTATACACTCATATTTTTCTCCTTCATCCTCCTCTATTACCTGATCATAAAACACTGAATTTTTCAGAGCTTTTTTCCCTCTAAGCCTATTCATTCCATTCTGTACTTACTCTCAGATAATTTCTACACCCTGGCTTCAGCTACTAAATGCCAATATTTGCAAACGTACGTCTCCAGTTCAGACGGTTCCTTTTAACCACCTGCCTACTTGACATTTCTACTTGGATGTCCCATTGTGACCTCAAACTTAACATGTATTAAACTGAACTCACCAACTTTCTCCTCCAGTGTTTTCAATTTCAATAAATGGTACTACCATTTATTTACTCAGTGACTTATACCACAAAACCAGGAGTCATCCAAGACCCTTCTCTTGTTAACTACCAGCATTCAATTACCAAGCCCTGTTGATCTGCCTCATATTTTTTTTTACTTTTGATTGTGAAAATTTCCGGCCGGGCATGGTGGCTCACGCCTGTAATCCCAGCACTTTGGGAGGCCTAGGCAGGAGGATCACCTGAGGTCAGGAATTCGAGACCAGCCTGGCCAACATGGCAAAACCCCGTCTCTACTGAAAATACAAAAATTAGCTGGGTGTGGTGGCGCATGCCTGTAATCCCAGCTACTCGGGAGGTTGAGGCAGGAGAATTGCTTGAAACCGGGAGGCGGAGGCTGCTGTGAGCCCAGGTCGTGCCACTGCACTCCAGCCTGGGCGACAGAGTGAGACTCTGTCTCAAAAAAAAAAAAAAAAAAAACAGAAAAGAAAAAAAATTTTCAAATACACAAAACGGCAAAGGAAATGTCAAGACAGGATATATTCATTGTCTTGATTGTGGCAATGGTTTAACAGATATATACCTTTGTCAATATTTATCAAATTGTACATTTTAAAATGTACAGTTTTGTTTTGTTTTTTTGAGGTGGAGTCTCACTCTGTCACCCAGGCTGGAGTGCAATGGCGTGATCTCGGCTCACTGCAAGCTCTGCCTCCTGGGTTCAAGCAATTCTCCTGCCTCAGCCTCCTGAGTAGCTGGGATTACAGGCACCCGCCACCACGCCTGGCTAATTTTTGTATTTTGGTAGAGACGGGGTTTCACCATGTTGGCCAGGCTGGTCTCGAACTCATGGCCTTAAGTGATCTATCCACTTCAGCCTCCCAAAGTGCTAGGATTACAGGTGTGAGCCACCTCACCTGGCCAAAATGTGAAGTTTATTATATGTCAGTTGCACCTCAGTAAAGATGTTTTTTGAAAGGAGGAAAGAGGGAGAGAAGGAGGACGGTAGGCGGGTGGGCAGGCAGTCAGGCAGGCACCATCTAGAAAGCCCTGATGAAGCCAATGACTTAACAAACATCAATGAATGCTAAAACAATTAGATAAAGGATAATAGGGAATATTATATCAGGCCATAACCACCTATAATCACTAGTCAACCTTAGTATCATTAAAATGAGACAACCAGACATTATGTGCTTCCTGATGTGATGTGATGTGATGTGAAGTATAAAGCAATACATGTATAGTATTTTTGTCAAAAATTTTAAGATTTTAGCTGAATCAAATTGAGTCTTCAGATCCAACTTCCAATCTACAGGCAAAACAAGAAAGAGAAAATCAAGCTAAAAGACGCCAGGAGGAAGCAATTGACTAAATCCAGAACACGGAACATTCTGGGCACTGGGAAGGACAATTGCTTTTAGGCCTTCCTTATTTTGAGGCATTTTTAATAAAGCTGTAAAATAATACGTTTTTAAAGAGAGGGAAAAACTCATGAGTTCCCACTGATATATCCAATTCTAATTTGAAATTTAAAGATTTCAATTCTCTGATTTTACATGTGTGTTTCATTTCCTGTGTGTGAATTGTTAACACAACCTTAGCTCAAGCCATCATGTCCTCCTCCCTAGGATTCTTCGGTAGTCTCCTAACTGGCCTTCCTAAATTTACTCATGCCATTCTCCGCAGCAAAGAATGGATTTTTTTTACACTGTGATTTTTTATTTTGAATTTAACCTACAGTTTATACAAGAGATTTATAAGACATGAACTTGGAAAACAGAACAAAATGTAATTGAGGTATAAGAGCACAGTATGTCATGTTTCAATAAATATAATTCAAAATTTTTAAATGATCAAATAGATGAGCCTTGCGTTTTACTAAACCCATGTGAAATATTTGTTTCTTGCATGGGAGGTAGAGAAAAACTGTATTCCTTAATGCAATCACCACAATGTTTATCATAACATTGTACATCACCAACAAATTTTTAAAGTATTAACTATTTTGATCATAATGAGTGTTTGCAATAGTTGCAGAAAGATATTTCACTTACTGCCTTCACAGACTATTAAGTTCAGAAATAACTTAAAAGCTACCGTATTGGCATAACATCATCAAGATAAACAAATATTTCCTAAATAGATGCATAAAAACATATATTTTATTGTCCTCAGCCCGTAGCTCCTAAAGGTATCTTAAATTTAGCCAATCCTTTTAGCTCTTGCATTTTAAATATGCTATGCTTCCTTTATTTTTATTTATTTATTTATTTATTTTTTGAGATGGAGTCTCACTCTGTCACCCAGGCAGGAGTTCAGTGGCACAATCTCCACTCACTGCAACCTCCACCTCCCAGGTTCAAGTGATTCTCCTGCCTCAGCCTCCTGAGTAGCTGGGATTACAGGCGCCCACCAGCACGCCCAGCTAATTTTTAGTAGAGACAGGGTTTCACCATGTTGGCCAGGCTGCTCTCGAACTCCTGACCTCAGGTGATCCACCCCACCCGCCTCAGCCTCCCGAAGTGCTGGGATTATAGGCATAAGTCACCATGTCCGGCACTTCCTTTATATTTAAGGAGGGCATCTATAGTTGAGAAAAAGTTTCCCAGATTTTTTTTTGTCACAAATAGAATGAAATGCAATGAATAGAACAGAATAAAAATGACTGTCTTCTTAACCCAGAAGCAATACAAAATATCCATGCACTTTTCTTCTAATAATGGAAATGCATACATATCCCTTGATAAGAAAAGAAAAAAAGTCTTAAGCTCTAAACATTTAAATTATTCAGTTCCACAGCTTATAATACAGCAGTTACGTTCCTTGTTGATAGCTTCATAAAAACTACTAAGTAGTTTCAAATGCATAGTAAAAGCACAATTTTATCTTAATTTTCTAAAATGTCCAGTCATGTAAAATAAAGAGATCAAAAACAGAGGAAAAAAATTTCATTACAATTTTTTCCTTCAAAAAAATCAAAACTTAATTCCAATAAATGAGAAGGAATGTTAGCTGACAAAAATGAAAAAAAAAAAAAATGGCTGGGAGCAGTGGCTCATGCCTGTAATCCCAGCACTTTGGGAGTCCGAGTGGGAAGATTGCTTGAGATCAGGAGTTTGAGACCAGCCTGGCCAACATGGCAAAACCCCATCTCTACTGAAAATATAAATAGTTCCAGCTACTTGGGAGGCTGAGGCAGGAGAATCACTTGAACCCAGAAGGCGGAGGCTGCAGTAAGCCAAGATGGTGCCACTGCACTCTAGCCTAGGTGATATAGGGAGAAAAAAAGAAAAGAAAAGAAAAGAAAAAGGGACATAATATTAACTTTGGGGCTGGTGTTTAGTTTGTGGGGATAGTTTCTGTCTCCTGAACCCTGGAGGGAAATGCAACAAATCTAAAAAGTAGTAGAATAACCCCAAAGGTGTGTTCATGAATGTTTAACCATCAGCTCCCAGGAAAAAAGACCCTGATTTTCATAGTGGGGCCTAGATTTTCATGGCAGGATGGAATGAATGAATACTCCCACTATGGCCAGCGTAGAGCTACCAAAATGGGGCTAGGAAGAGGTGCTTACACTCAGCTCACTGGGCTACACCATTCCAGCAAACACTGCCCAGGCCACAGGGTACAGGCCCTGCCTGATCCAAACCCAAACTTCTTTTGAGCTCCTCCATGGTATTCAGTGGCCTTTTTTGAATTCCTTAAACTCTTCCAGCTGTTTCTTTTCTCAGGCTCTTCACCACATTCTGCCTTCTCTACTTAGAATACTGCCTACCTAGAATACTAACCTCCCCTAAGTCCTCCTCATCCTCTAGATCTCAGGTTTCTGATATACACACACACAAAGCGAGAAAGCAGATCGCAATATAAGATGTTAGGGGTTTTTGGGGGTGTTTTGTTTTTGAGACAGGGTCTCACTCTGTTGCCCAGGCTGCAGTGCAGTGGTACAATTATGGCGCACTGCAACCTTAACCTCTGGGTCTCAAGCAATCCTCCCACTTCAGCCTTTCAAGTAGCTGGGATCACAGGTGCATGCCACCATGCCCAGCTAAGTTTTTGTTTGTTTTTGTAGAAACACGGCCTCATTATGATACCCAGGCTGGTCTCGAATTCCTAGACTCAAGTGATCCTCCCACCTCAGCCTCCCAAAGTGTTGAGCTAACAGGTGTGAGCCACCAAGCCCCATCTAAAATGTATTTCTTAACCAGATGCAGTGGCACACTTGTAGTCCCAGCTACTTGGGAGGCTGAGGCAGGAGAATTCCTTGAGCCCAGGAGTTCCAGCCTGCACAACATAGCAAGACCTCATCTCTATAAAAATAATTAAATAAAATAAAAGCATTTATTATAGTTCATGGCCAAAAACAAGCTTTTAAAGACCACTGCCCTAGACACTGCCAAGATATGCATTCTCCTCCAGACTTTGATTTTATGGATTTCAGATTGGCAATCCCCATCCACCTCTGTCATTACCACATTGTCTCACATGTGCTAATTTATTCTAGACCTGGAAGCCAGTGAACCTGCTTTCCTGATGACTACATACCTCTGCTCTAAACCAGGAAATGATGACTTCATAGTTTCACTCACAGAGGGTTGTTTTTCCCCAGTTCTTACATGTTATACGCAATACCTTCAAGCCTCATACCAGCAACACAAATTATATTTCATTTATTTCCAGTGTTGCTATTGTAACGTGATCTGGAGTAATCATTCAGTAATCATTCAGACTTCGAATACTTTAACATCCCTCTGAAAAAAGAATGTACTTAGGACATGAATCCATTGGTCAGAAAAAAAAAAAAAAGAAAAAAATGAAAGAAATTTTTAAAAAGAATGTACCTCATATCTCAACCAAGTCATTGAAATACAATTGAAATTCCATTTTAAAGCGTCATTAAAGTCATTCTAATCACCTTACAAACATTGTCTTTAAATAACAGGGTTTATTTATATCGTTGGTATTTATTTCCATTGACATCATTTTCAAGAAAGCACTATGAAATTCTCCAAGGCCATGTACTTTTCAGATACCTATTTCTCTTTCTCTCTTGCTCTTATCTCTCCTCTCTCCCTCTCTCTTTCTATTTTTGAAAAAGCTTTTTAAAATTTCTTTAATTAACAAATTGGTACCTGAATCAGAATAATGGATCTGTTTTTGTTTCCTCTTTAACTTTGTTACTTTATGTCATGTAATTATTGAATACTGAATATCTTTTCTATATCTAATCATGCTTTATCTTCTCTTTAACAACTATAGAACAATTAGAGGATCTAAAATTAAATTTTTATCCCCTAAACTTTCAAAGTTCACAGCATATGTAATTTTCTGAATGCCATCTGTTAGGGCTTTATTAAGCAAGTTGTTAATGTTATGTAGCAAACATGTAGCAGAAATGTCACTAACATTTTAAATTGTGCTCTAAAATATGTGTAGGCATTATAAACTAGTGATGTCTTCTTTCTCATTACTGTCCTCACTTATTTCTAATACTGCAATCAGAGTCGTAATGTGTCTCTTTTACTTTCAGTTCCTGCCATTTATTTCTGGTATGATCATCTTGATTTACTATTATTAGTATGATTGGGTCATTATCATTACCTGTTACTAGCACAGTTCCAGGAATGTACTATACACTCTATAAAATGTTAATTTCTTTCTTTTGGCATTTTCTAAAAATATATATATAGTCTATTTACATAGATATTCAAATGCTTATACATAAAGATATATTCAAAAGGCTCAGCCGGGCGCAGTGGCTCACACCTGTAATCCCAGCACTTTGGGAGGCCAAGGCGGGCGGATCACCTGAGGTCAGGAGTTCAAGACCAACCTGGCCAACACAGTGAAACCCCATCTCTACTAAAAATACAAAAATTACCTGGGCTTGGTGGCATGCGCCTATGGTCCCAGCTACTCAGGAGGCTGAGGCAGGAGAATTGCTTGAACCCGGGATGCAGAGGTTGCAGTGAGCCAAAATCACACCACTGCACTCCAGCCTCGGAGACGGAGCGAGACTCCATCACAAAAAAAAAAAAAAAAAGGTTGGGGGGGTGACGCTTTCATTAATACCAGAAGCTAGAGCAAAGAACAAAGCTATGATGCTAGGGACCTCAAATAAATAATGAAAACATTTATCTAATTCCTATTACCTTTGGTGACTAAAAGAAAGATAAAATGCTGTGTCCATTAGATCAAACTCTAGGAGAGCAAAGAACACGTCTGTGATATTGACTGCTGGTATCCTCAGAGCTTAGAACAACAAATATACACTACAAGATGGCCGAATCAATGAATCAGTGGGCAAGCAGGAACTGCAGCCAGGTCTTTACTTGTGCGGCACTGATGTCCACAGCTACGAATTTTTGTTAATCATAGAATTAATTGGTGTGTCCATCCAGTTAACCAAAATTAATTATATGGCCAAATACACCAGAAAATGTTTGTCCTTGTAGGATCTTTTCTTTATTTTTATGTTTTTAAATAGAGACAGGGTCTTGCTCCGTCACCCAGGCTGGAGTGCAGTAGTGCAGTCATGGCTCACTGCAGCCTTGAACTCCTGGGCTCAAGCAACCCTCCTGCCTTAAGCCTCCCAAGTAGCTAGGACTACAGGCCCATGCCACCACTCCCAGCTGATTTTTTTATTTTTTGTACAGACGGGTCTCACTATGTTGCCCAGGCTGGTCTCAAATTCCTGCCTTCATGGGATCCTCCTGCCTTGGCCTCCCAAAGGGCTGGGATTATAGGCATGAGCCACTCCACCCAGTCCATGTGGAATCTTTTATCTTTTTTACTTTTTTCATCTTCATTTTTTTTTAATAGAAACAGAGTCTCCCTATGTTGCCCAGGCTGGTCTTGAACTCCTGGGCTCAAGGGATCCTCCTGCCTTGGCCTCCTAAAGTGCCGGGATTACAGAAGTGAGCCACCACACCTGGCTCCATGTGGGGTCTTTAGTCACAGATTCTTTATGGGCCTGTTCTTTCAAAAAAAGTGTAATAAAATTTAGCATGTGAGTGTTCTAGCAAACAGTCATACAGATAGGTGAATTGAGCTTAAAATGTTTTTTGATTTTTTTTTTTTTTTTGAGATGGAGTCTCACTCTGTTACCAGGCTGGAGTGCAGTGTCGTGATCTCAGCTCACTGCAACCTCCGACTCCGTGGTTCAAGTAATCCTCCTGCCTCAGCCTCCCGAGTAGCTGGGACTACAGGCACGTGCCACCACGCCCAGCTAATTTTTGTATTTTTAGTAGAGACGGAGTTTCACCATGTTGCCCAGGCTGGTCTCGAACTCCTGACCTCGTAATCAACCTGCCTCAGCCTCCCAAAGTGCTGGGATGACAGGTGTGAGCCACAGCACCCAGCCAAAAAAATTGATTCTTATTTGCTTTGGTTTCATACGATCAGGGGTAAATGGCCTTAGGCAGAAATATACAGAATTATAGAATGTTGGTATTATTTTTTTGTCATCTAAATAATCTTAAATTTGTTGGGGTTGTTGTTGTTGTTGTTGTTTGTTTGTTTGTTTGTTTTTTGAGATGGAGTCTCGCTCTGTCACCCAGGCTGGAGTGCAGTGGCACGATCTTGGCTCACTGCAACCTCTGCCTCCCAGGTTCAAGCGATTCTCCTGCCTCAGCCTCCCGAGTAGCTGGGATTACAGGTGCATGCCACCAGGCCTGGCCAATTTTTGTATTTTTAGTAGAGATGGGGTTTCACCATGTTGGCCAGTCTCATGTCAAGCTCCTGACCTCAAGTGATCTGCCCACCTCGGCCTCCCAAAGTGCTGAGATTACAGGCATCAGCCATCATGCCCGGCCCTAGATTTGTTTTTTAAATACCTCAATTGTATAATGTGTTCAATATGTAGATATATAATTTCTTAAATTAATATTCTGAGGCTTAGTGTTCAGCCTGTCTCCCTATACCTCCACATCACTCTATAGTCCATTTCTCTCTTTATTTTCTTTAGAGCAGTATCTGTAATTTTCTTCTTTCTTTTCTATTTGCTTATTGCCTATCCTATCTAAATAGAATATAATACATTCCATGAAAGCCAACAGTCTTATCTGTGTCGCTGCTGTATCCCCAGCACACAGAACAATTGACTCCCCTGTCAAATTTTGTTCAATGGTAGGAAGAAAGAAAGAAAAGAAGGGAAGTGACATTTACTTTTAATTTTTTTGTATTGAATTTTTGTTGGAAACAAATTTTAAAAACTAATTAGATCATCCTTTCTCCTCCCACATTACCCAGAAAAGCAAGGAAGGTCATTGTCTATCTCGTTATTGCTAGGCACTGAAACAGCTCAGTATCTTAACATATTTTTTCTCTGATCTCAGAAAACAACAAGTTTCTTCCTTCCAAGATTAGCCCCTTTGTGCTTGTTGCACTCTTTATATTGAGATGCACGAGCAGCAATGAGATGATCCCTGAAGAATGTGGACTGAGAAATGCAGGAGACCCAAGACAAAATCCCAACAGATACCAACAGCTGAGGAAAGGACAAAAGAGAAAACACAGAAAGGAGACCCTCCTTCACTCTCATGTACCCATTACAACCTGGTTCCTTCCTCAATTACTGAAGTAAAACTATCTCCCAAAGCGCGCTGGCTCCACCTGCTACGACTGAGTCCCTAAGCCTTTGTCTCTCTCTTCTTCCAGTGTAAATGCTCTTTTCCCTCAGCCCTTCCCGTAAAGTCATTCTTCAGTGTTCAGCTGAGTCCCATGTTTTGTCTTGTTTTTCTCTACTCTTCTTTGAGATAGAAAGTATTAGAGGGAAAGCCAGGCACGGTGGCTCATGCCTGTAATCCCAGTGCTTTGGGAGGCCTAGGTCGGAGGATCTCTTGAGGCCAGGAGTTTGAGGCCAGCCTGGGCAATGTAGCAAGACCCCATCTCTACAAAAAATTTTAAAAATTAGCCAGATTTGGTGGTGTGTGCATGTAGTCTCAGATACTTGGGAGGCTGAGGGGAGAGGATTGCTTGAGCCAGGTGGTAGAGGATGCAGTGAGCTATGATCCTATGACTGCACTCCAGCCTGGGCAACAGAGGGAAACCTTGTCTCTAAAAAGGAAAAGAAAAGAGAAAAGAAGAGGAGAAGGGAAGGGAAGGGGAAGGAGAAGTGGGAAAGAGAAAAGAAAGAAAGGAAAAGGTGCAGCAAGCCGGTATGGCACGTGTATACGTATGCAACAAACCTGCACGTTCTGCACATGGATCCCAGAACTTCAGTAAAGTTTTTATTTTACTTAAAGTAAAATTAAAAAAAAAAAAATAGAAAGAAAGGAAAAAAATATTAGAGGGAAATAAATGTGTCCTCTCTCCCCTGCCCCCAAACTCTACCTGTTTTCCATAAGGGTGGATTTTTCCACATATTCCTGCCTCTTTCTGTCTCCTGACTGTCTGATTGCTACATTTCCTTTGAGGGACTGACTTGTGTAGTTCTTCTTTTTCCTGTCCGTTTTTCTCTACAAAAGAACCAGCCACCAGCCTAGTCTATTCCTGGGGCAGTTCTTTGTTCCCCATGTTGCAGGTCTTCATCGTCCCATGTGACTGGTGGGTAAGTCGAGGACACAGTGGGGGTGGGAGTGGGGATGCTTCAAGCCCATTTGGCCTTCACAATAAACTATGACTTCCAACATTTTAAATTTAAAAGTAATATTTTAAATCTCTCTTTTGTCTTCCACTGCCTGAAAAGAGAGGTGCTATTTATTGAACTCTTGACATCTCTACAACAGTAAACATAATTTGAAAAAAATGAAATCTCTATACTGGGTCTCTGTCCCCCAGGCTGGAGTACAGTGGTGTGATCATGGCTCACTGTGGCCTCCAGCTCCTCAGCTCAAGCCATTCTCCTGCTTCAGCCTCCCAAGTAGCTGGGACTACAGGCATAAGCCACCATGCCTGGCTAATTTGTTTTTTTTTTGTTTTTTTTTTTTGTTTTTTTTTGTTTGTTTTGTTTTTTTGCGGGGCTGGGGTCTCACTGTGTTGCCTAGGCTGGTCTTGAACTCCTGGGCTTAAGCAATCTTCCTACCTCAGCCTCCCAAAGTGCTGGGATTATAAACATGAGCCACCTCGCCTGTCCTCATATCTTGATTTATTGTAATATGTTCTTTTCACCCTTCCTTTTCTCAAGATACCTGTCTAGTCTCTGTTCAAACATACTGTTCCTCCCAAGAGTCAGTAAAGACTAATTTATGTAACCAAAAAGTCTCCATCAGTTTGGAAAAACAGGTATCAATAAATTCTAATTGTTGTACAACTGTATTTTTTAATTTTGTTTTTTCTTTTCCTTTTTTTTTTTTTTTTTTTTTTGAGACAGAGTCTCACTCTGTTTCCCAGGCTGTAGTGCACTGGCATGATCTCGGCTCACTGCAGCCTCAACTTCCTGGGTTCAAGTGATCCTCCTGCCTCAGCCTCCAAGGAGCTGAGACCACAAGCACGAACCACCACACCCAGCTATTTTTTTGGTATCTTTTAGTAGAGACAGCATCTCACCATGTTGCCCAAGCTTAACTGTATTTTTTTTTTAAGATTTAAGTGATGAAAGTATTTTTCTGAATGAATGAGAGATTAATCCATCAATTACTGTCATGCGTTTTCTTTTCTTTTTTCTTTTGAGACGCAGTTTTGCTCTTGTTGCCCAGGTTGGAGTGCAATGGCACAATCTTGGCTCACCACAACCTCCGCCTCCCGGGTTCAAGTGATTTTCCTGCCTCAGCCTCTGGAGTAGCTGGGATTACAGCTGCCCGCCACCACACCCAGCTAATTTTTTTGTATTTTTAGTAGAGATGGGGTTTCACCATATTGGCCAGGCTGGTCTTGAACTCCTGACCTCAGGTGATTCACCCACCTCGGCCTCCCAAAGTGCTGGGATTACAGGCATGAGCCACCGTGCCCGGCTGTCATGCATTTTCATGAATGATTTGCAAATCTTCCTCTGTAGCCTTTACAATCCCTGAAGTCTCTCCTACCTCAGTTCCTGTGTTACTCATTGTTTACAGAATATTTCCTCTTAACTTTTTTCATTGCTCTACTGCCCTACATATTTTTTAATGTTTTTTTAAACATTTTTTATTGTTATTTTTATTGTTATTTTTATTTTTTTGAGACCAAGTCTCACTCTGTCACCCAGGCTGGAGTGCGGTGGCACGATCTTGGCTCACTGCAACCTCTGCCTCCTGGCTTGAAGCTATTCTCCTGCCTCAGCCTCCCGAGTAGCTGGGATTACAGGCACCCACCACCACACCCAGCTGATTTTTGTATTTTTAGTAGAAACAGGGTTTCACCATGTTGGCCAGGCTTGTCTTGAACTCCCGACCTCAGGTGATCTGCCCACTTCGGCCTCCCAAAGTGCTGAGATTACAGGTGTGAGCCAGCTAACTTTTTTTTTAAAAGAGTGATGGGAGTCTCACTATTCTTCCCAGGGTGGACTTGAACTCCTGGGATCAAGAGATCCTCCTGCCTCAGCCTCCGAGTATCTGGGACTGTAGGTGGGGCCCCCTAAAAACTTTTTTTTATTTTGAGACAGGGTCTTACTCTGTTGCCGAGGCTGGAGTACAGTGGCGTGATCATGGCTCACTGCAGCCTCAACTTCCTGGGCTTAAGTGATCCTCTCGCCTCAGACTCCCAACAAGCTGGGACTATAGGCATGTGCCACCACATCTGGCTAATTTTTTTTTTTTTTAGTAAAAACAGGGTCTCACCATGTTGCCCAGCCTGGTCTAAGTCCTGGGCTCAAACAGTCCTCCCACCTCAGTCTCCCGAGTAGCTGGAACCACAAGTACATGCCACCATGCCAGCTAATTTTTTAAGTTTTTTGTAGAGACGAGGTCTTACTACGTTGTCCAGGCTGGTAATAAACTCCTCGGCTCAAGCGATCCTCCTACCTTGGCCTCCCAAAGTGTTGGGATTACCGGCATGAGCCACAGAGCCCAGCCTAGAAACTTCTAATTTTGACTTAATATCAGAGTTACAAAAAAGTTGCAAGAATCATGCAAATAATTACCATTTGCTCTTTACTGAGATTCTCCAAATATTTGCATTGTATCACTTTATCCTTTTCCTTGTCTCTTTTGTTTATTCCCCTGAGCCTTTTAAGAGTACTTTGCAGATACGATTTTGCTTTACTGATAATGTTTCATGAGCATTTCCTAAGAATAAGAACATTCTTTTACATAAGCATAGTACAATGATCAAAATCAGGAAATTAACATTGATACAATACTATTATCTAATCTAAAGATGTTATTGAGATTTCCCCAGTTGCCCTAATATGCCCTCTGTTGAGAAGTCAATCTCAGATTACTCATTGCATTCAGTGGTCATGCCTCTTATACCTTCTTTAATCTAGAATAGTTCTTCAATCTGTCTTTTATAACACTGATATTTTTGGAGTACATGTCAGTTATTTTGTGGACTATCCATCAGCTAAGTATTCCTTTGATCCTATATCCATTGGCATTAATGTGTCTCTAGAAGCTATGGTGATTAAAAGTAATCCCTTTTCTGTGTCTTCATATTTCCAGTTTTACATTCCAGCACCACCTCTTACTACATGTGTGACCACTTAACCTCTCTAAGCCATAGTTACTCATCTTTAAAATTCAAAGAATTAGGCTAGACTTTGTGGGTCACGACTGTAATTCCAACACCTTGCAGGGCTGAGACAGGAGGATCCCTTGAGCCCAGGATTTGAAGACCAGCCTGAGCAAACACAGTAAGACCCTGTCTCTATTAAAAAATTAAAATTAGCCAGGTGTGGTGGTGTACTCCTATAATCCCAGCTACACGGAAGGCTGAGGTCAGAGGATGGCTTGAGCCTAGGAGTTGGAGGCTGTAGTGAGCTGTGATTGGGTCACTGCACTCCAGGCAGGGTGCCAGAACCCATTCTGTCTTGGGGGGAGGGGAGGAAAATTGTAATAATTGTACCTGCCTAATAGGTTATAGAGAGCATTAAAGGCAGAGACATATGAAAGAAGTTATCCAGCCGGGCTTGGTGGCTCACACCTGTAACCCCAGTACTTTGGGAGGCCGAGCCGGGTGGATCACGAGGTCAGGAGATCAAGACCATCCTGGCTAAACCTGTCTCTACTAAAAAATACAAAAAATTAGCCGGGCATGTTGGCACACGCCTGTAATCCCAGCTACTTGGGAGGCTGAGGCAGGAGAGTCACTTGAGCTGGGAGGTGGAGGTTGCAGTGAGCCAAGAAGATCTCGCCATTGCACTCCAGCCTGGGCGACAGAGAAGACTCTGTCTCAAAATAAATAAATAAATAAAAATTAAGAAAAAACAAGGCCAGGCACGTGGTGGCTCACACCTGTAATCCCAGCACTGTGAGAGGCCTAGGCGGGCAGATCACCTGAGGGCGGGACTTCGAGACCAGCCTGACCAACATGGAGAAACCCCCGTCTCTACGAAAAATACAAAATTAGCCGGGCGTGGTGGCACATGCCTGTAATCCCAGCTACCCAGGAGGCTAAGGCAGGAGAAGTACTTGAACCCGGGAGGCAGAGGTTGCGGTGAGCCGAGATCGCGCCACTGCACTCTCCAGCCTGGGCAACAAGATTGAAACTCCGTCTCAAAAATAAATAAATAAATAGGAATTTATCCAATGCATGGCACAAAATCATTTGCTTTTTGTGTGCTTTGGCTTCTCAACTCCTCACTACTTGGCCACCCTTACATAGATGCGTTCTAGTTTGCCCCATGTATCTCTAAAAATGGGGTTCTATAGCCGCAAGTGGTGGCATGCACCTGTAGTCCCAGCTACTTGGGAGGCTGAGATGGAACGTAGAGGCTGCAGTGAGCCGAGATCGTGCCACTGCAGTCCAGCTTGGGCAAAAAGAGTGAAACTCCATCTCAAAAAAAAAAAATTGTCAAGAGAGAACCCAATAGGAAGCCTTGTGACAAATGTGAAACATTTCTTTATAAGTTGAAATCAATCACTCTCTGGGTCAGTTATTTCAAATAGCTATAAATAAATTGTTAGGAACATCCAGCTAGATTTTAAAAAGTGATTCTCGGAGCCCTCGCGCCCACCACGCCACCATAAAAAAATAAATAAATAAACAACAACAAAAGAGAAAAAGAAATAAATTGTACAGGCTTGTGAGCTAATTCACCTTTCACCGTCTTACTCCACAGAATAACTAAAGATGAAACCCCCTTCCCTTAGCAATCTCCATTCCTCCCCCATCCCTGGAGGGGGTGGGAGGAGAAAAAGAATCACCAAAGATTTTTTTCTTATGCCTCTGGCATCCCCCCAGGCTACCAATTTAATAGCACTGTTTCTTTTTTAAGTGCTTGTCTTAGTTTAGCCCAACTCATTTGTATTGAAATAACATTGGTCTCAAGTGGTTATTACTTTTCTTCTTACAAATCACTTGTTTAATAATCTATTCTAGTATCTTAATAGAGGTAGATTCAAGCAATAGTGAGAAGCTTCCAAAATCCTGGTCTCTTTCTAACAATGTCACTGAGTTGCTATGTGACCTAGGGAAGGTCACTCTTTTAACCTAGACATTTCCTTTAAAACAATGAGAAAATTTGATCTACCACTTATTAAGCTCACTGTGCCAACTACCTTTATTTGATTTTTGCCACGATCTATGCAGTAAATATTCTCCCTGTTTTACAGATGAGAATACCGAGGCTTAGATACATTTAAAACCTTACCTAAAGTCACTCATTATAAGTGGTGGAGCTGCTAGATATATAGACTCACAGTGGCAAATTTTTACAAACTCCTTATGCTGCGATTGACTTTAGGACACTCTATGGCCATTAACTGTAATCTTATACCAAATGGTACAGCCTTAAAAAATAGACTTGCTTTTTTAGAATTAAAAAAAAAAAATAGATTTGCTTGAGGATCTAAGTGCTCACTACTCAACTAAAAGACAGCAATTCCCAAAGTGTTTTTGAAGGAACACTAGTTCCGCCAATAGCCTCAGGATAAAACAGCTGTACTGTCAAATGTTTGACATACATTTCATACTACTGTGATTCTTTTGGAGATTTAAAGGGCTCTGCAAAGCACTTTAGAAAAGAAACTTGTTTAACATTCTTGAGTCACAGAGCTTGAGTTTCCTGAAGCACGTTTAACATATAAGCTGTTACAAGGTGGTAAAGTTTTTTGTTTTGTTTTTTTTTTTCTTTTTACTCATTAGGACTTCAAGAATGTTTATCCAGAGAAACAATAAGATTTAAAAATGTGTATTCTTAGCTGGGCTCATTGGCTCATGCCTGTAATCCCAGCACTTTGGGAGACTGAGGTGGGCGGATCGCTCGAGCCCAGGAGTTCGAGACCATCCTAGGCAACATGGCAAAACCCCATCTCTACCAAAAATAAAAAAATCAGGCAGGCATGGTGGCACACACCTGTAGTTCCAGCTACTCGGGAGGCTGAGGTGGAAGGATCACCTGAGCCCGGGAGGTCAAGGCTGTGATGAGCCATGATGGTGCCATTGCACCCCAGCCTAGGTGACAGAGTGAGAACCTGTCTCAAAACACACACACACACGAGTTCCTGGGAAAGCAAAATGGAGGGGTGTGTGTCTAACCTAATGGTCTGCAATCTGGCCTACAGCAGGAAGCTGGAAGAGTTCAAGGAGGGTATTCTGGCCGATAAATCCCTAGCTACTAGAACTGACCAGGACAGCAGAACAGCATTGCACTAGGCATGCTCAGCTGGACATAAAGGAATTGATGAATTTTTGTTGCAACTTGGAGTGCCAGTGAATGATAAAGACGATGCAAGTTGGTCTCCTCTCAAATTGCGGCTTCTGCTGGCCGGGATGAGATTGTAAAAGCCCTTCTGGGAAAAGGTGCTCAAGTGAATGCTGTCCATCAAAATGACTGTACTCCCCTACATTATGCAGCTTCCAAAAATAGGCATGAGATTGCTGTCATGTTACTAGAAGGCAGGGCTAATCCTCATGCTAAGGACATTATGAGGCTACAGCATTGCACTAGGCAGCAGCCAAGGGGTTTTGTGAGCATCTAGGTTGGTGACACATCCACATGCCAGAAGAGTGGTGCACCCCAACTTCATGGGAACAGAAGCTCCTATGCTCGGGACCCTTCTGGACCTCACCCTATGTACCTCTTCAGCTGCCCATTCATCTATACCTTTATAATGTCCTTTATAATAAACTGGTAAACAAGAAAAAAAACACACACAAACCCAAAAACAAAAAAATTAGCTGGTCATAGTGGCACATGCCTATAGTCCCAGCTACTCAGGAGGCTGAGGCAGGAGAATCACTTGAGCCCAGGAGGTCAAGGCTGCAGTGAGCCATGATCACACCTGACCCCTGCGCTCCAGCCTAGGGGATGGAGTAAGACCCTGTCTCAAAAACAGCAACAACGACAACCAACCAACCAACATCAACAAAAAACCAACCAACAACAATAAAACAAAAACAAAAATAAAAAAACCCATATATTCTTATTTAAATCTCCAAACTGCCTATTTGGATAATGCTTTAATTTTTAAAATGGGCCTACTCCTGTCCTGGTGTGTCCATTATGTGACCTTCACAAACAGCCTAGTTAGGGATGTGCTATTATCCCGATTTTACATTTTCAGGGAAAGGTCTTGAGTTGTTAAGGAATGTACTCAATGCCTTACAGCTAGAGAAAGGTGAAACTCAAATTCAAATTTTCGCAATCCAAATTCAGTACTCTTTCACTTAACCACCTGTAATGTGTATTTTTCTGCCGTTTATCATTTTAAAAGCTTGCTGACATTTTTTAAAACAAGCAATTTTGAGAAAAAGGAAAGGTTATATTAAAAATATAAGATGACCAGCCGGGCGCGGTGGCTCACGCCTGTAATCCCAGCACTTTGGGAGGCCAAGGTGGGTGGATCTCACCTGAGGTCAGGAGTTTGAGACAGCCCGACCAACACAGTGAAACCCCATCTCTAGTAAAAATACAAAATTAGCCAGGCGTGGTGGCATATGCCTGTAATCCCACCTACTTGGGAAGCTGAGGCAGGAGAATCGCTTGAACCTGGGAGGCAGAGGTTACAGTGAATGAAGATCATGCCATTGCACTCCAGCCTGGGCAACAAGAGCGAAATTCCGTCTCAAAAAAATAAATAAATAAAAATAAAGAAATAAATATATGATATATATGATGACCTTATAGTTTTAATAGTAAAAACCATATTTGGGACTTTTCCCTTTTAACATTACTCCTTAGCATCAGCAGTTTAGGGTTTGGAATGGAAAACAGGCTATACCTTACTATGTTTGGGTCTTGTGGGAAAACAGTCTAATCCTGGAAACAGCAAATTAGCCCACAGCTATACCTGTTTACCTAGTCAATGTGTGTTTGTTCTGTTTGAAGATACTTCAAAAGTAACAACTGTAAAAGAGATTACTGCTTTGATCAGAGAATCTGAATCCCCTTTGTTGACCATGAATGATTGGTCTTTGTGATGTTAATGTTTCTTTTAAGGAATATCAGATCTGTAAATGCACCTTAATTACAGGCAAGCAGTTTTGGAGGGAATTTGTGACAGCATTTTATGGAAAGTCTTTCCTAGTTCCCCTTCAAATCTAATTATAGTAGAAAGATTGTTTTAGGCCAAGCAGCAAAAAGCTATAATTATTAGTGCTTTCATTAATGTTCATGTAGGTCAAAAAAGTTATCTTATGAAGAATAAGATTTAAATCTCAAAAATGCTTAATTTTCCCTATAAAGCACAGAACAACATGCAGAGCCTTAACTGAGATGTCCTTACTAACCTGTTCACCATAATTATGCTGGCAGCTCAGGAGGCCGTTTTACGAAGACTTTACATTTAGAAACAGCACGTAGGAATCCACAACTCAAACAATTTCTGATTCCCAAATTTTATTTTTAAATTTGCAACCAACAGTCCAATTAGAGTACATGAGTACCATATGGAGACAGAAATTTTTTTTCAGTTCTGCTATGTTCATTTTGTGGTATTAGGCTGAGTTTTTTGTCGTAAGAAGAGAGATATATATATCTCTCTTCTTACATGTATATATATATATATATATATATATATATATGTTTTTGTTTGTTTGTTTTTGTTTTTGTTTGTTTTTTGTTTTTTTGTTTTGTTCTGTTTTGAGAAGGAGTCTTGCTCTGTCACCAGACTGGAGTACAGTGGTGCGACCTCGGCTCACTGCAACCTCCGGCTCCCAGGTTCAGGTGATTCTCCTGCCTCAGCCTCCTGAGTAGTTGGGACAACAGGCATATGCCACCACACCCAGCTAATTTTTGTATTTTTAGTACAGATGGGGTTTCACCATGTTGGCCAGGATGGTCTTGATCTCTTGACCTTGTGATCCACCTGCCTCAGCCCCCCAAAGTGCTGGGATTACAGGTGTGAGCCACTTTACCCGGCTGAAGACATATGTTAATACAGAATGTTAGATGTTGCTGAAGATGTGAGGAAACAGAATTGCTAAACTGCAGATAGGGTGATTTACTTAGACATGAGGAAGAATTTCTCAACAGCAGAGTGAAATCTTATGTGGAGGTGGTTTGAAAGTTGCATACTTTATGAAATAGTATGTGGCAAAGACTGGGCACACAGCAAGGCCTGTTCTAAGAGGAACATTTCAATTGATTGCATTTGTTACTGTACATGGTATTAAGTCCCAGAATGGGATTTTTCTACTCACCTGGTTGCAATGCTAATAATGACCACCATTCAGCATTGTATACACCAAGTACTTACCAACTGCTACCTTCCAAGGATTTTTTTCAATATTATGTTAACATTTAAACTTATCATTTAAAAAGCTATGAATAGAGCCAGCCTCGCCTGTGTATGAGGAAAAATGATATCTCTGAGGTTTAAAGCATACTGAATTAACACATTCCAAGTCATTTCTTCTTCTTCTTGTTTTTTTTTCCTAATTATGGCAGCAATTAGCTTTGCAGCATTGCATTCATTCCAAACAGCAGGGATGGAAAACAATAATCCTGTTTACCTGAAGCTGGAGAGAGTGTACCTAGCTTTGTTCCCTCCCCAGCCTAATCTAAATGCTTTGCTAGGTGCCATCCCACACAATAGACTGTGACTGAGTCACTAGCAAACCCTCTCCCTCACCTGGTTAATTCACTTGTCACTGTAAACCTCTGCAAGGTCAAGAAATAACAGATAACAGGTCATTTCCAACTTAATAAGGTGGCACATTTTACTTACATTCACTTAAAAAGATAGAGCCCTCAGATATATGAATACCTGTTTTAAAAAAATCGTTCGATCTGTTAAAATTATCACAGGGAAAATAACAGAACTCTCTTGGATTGTTCTTGACAATTAATGGAATAGAAAGGTGGCGATTGTAAATGCTTTTTTTTTTTTTTTGTCTTTGCAGTAATGGAGAAGAGTAAATTATTAAATGGACACATTATTTACGTTTGAAAAAAAGCTGCATCTCATGCTAGGAAAATAGGTTACAGGCAATTTTGCATTATAATGTGAACATGTCATTAGTTTTAATTTTCCACACCAAAGATTGTAGGGTAATTTGCTTTCATTAGAATGGAGTAGTTTTTCCTCTACATACATTATCTTTCAAACCTCTATTGCCTCCATGAGAGATTTTAGTTCTTCTTTTCTTAATTTGTAAGAAAAATAGTCTTGATTTTTCTAAGTATCTAAATATTGTGGCAAAAGTTTTATTGCATATAACAAGAGCTGAAACACAGGGTGAACGCACTGCAAATGTGTCATAACCATTGCACAATGCCAAATATCATAATATATGAAGGTATACCACCACCATTTGACATGTTTTAGTGTTGTAGGGCACTAAGTGTACACAGTGTATTTCTCTGCTGTAAAATGTAGGCTACTATAGAGGAAGAACAGTAATCAGTTACACATTAACCATAAAAGGTCATTTCTTGCGGCAAATGATATGTTGATCAAGCAATATTTGTCAGTAGACCTGAGTCTTACTACTGAATGACGCTCATGAAGAAAACCATTGTCCAGTGGGACATCATCATATATGCAAATCATCCATTTGTTTGGATGGTTTAAATATCATCAAGTCTTTATCTTCGCTTCTATAATGTAACTCACTGACTTTTCAGCTAATCAATCCCTGATGCTACATTTTTCTGTTAACTTACTATGCTGCACAGTCAAACAATGATTAATCTCCTAATGTTAACTATGCGATAAGAAAAATATTAAAAGAAAATGAATGACGTATTCACTTGTGTTACAAAATTGTCTATAAACTAGTTTCCCAGCATGAGCTGTGGTTTATTTTCAAACTTAAATAACTTGTCTATGTAACCTTATCTTCCAGGTACTTCCTGCAAACTTCATACATTATGCAATCAAGCCCATAAATATAGGTAGAAGTTAACTTGAATGGCTGAAACAGAGTTAACCACACACATGTAGTTAGAGCGTTATCATTTCTGCCATAAACCTCTCCCTTTTAAGAGATTTACCAAGCTATCATAAAAAATGTGTTATTGCCTGTATCTTTGCAAAACATGAGTTCCTATGAAGTGACTTGCCAGCCTGGGCAACAAAGACAGACCTTGTCTCTACAAAAAAATTTAAAAATTAGCCAGACGCAGTGGTATGCGCCTGTAGTCCTTGCTACACTCAGGAGGCTGAGGCAAGAGGATTGCTTGAGCCCAGGAGTTCCAGGCTGCAGTGAGCTATGATTGCGCCACTGCACGCCAGCTTAGATACCAAAGAAAGATCCCATCTTAAAAAAAATGTGACTTGGCTTCTTTTTTTTTTTTTTTTTTTTTTTTTGACGGAGTCTTGCTCTGTCACCCAAGCTGGAGTACAGTGGCACGATCTTGGCTCACTGCAATCTCCGCCTCCCAGGTTCAAGCGCTTCTCCTGCCTCAGCCTCCCGAGTAGCTGAGACCACAAGAGTCCAACACCACGTCCGGCTAATTTTTGTATTTTTAGTAGAGACAGGGTTTTACCATATTGGCCAGGCTGGTCTCGAACTCATGACTTTGTGATCTACCTGCCTCAGCCTCCCAAAGTGCTGGGATTACAGGTGTGAGCCACCGCACCCAGCCGACTTGGCTTCTTAAACATTAAACATACTGGATTGTTGCTACATGTCACAATGGCCAGTGTGTTTGTATACTGATATCACTGAATTGAGGTGGCACTGGTATTAAGTATCCTCTCTTTAGTTTTTGTAAATTTCTGAAAAATTAACATATTATAACTCCAATGATGACATATTACCAGGATCATACAAACAAATGCATTCAACCACCTCACCAAACAAACAAGGCGAAGTGTAAACCAGGATGCTTTATGGAGGAAAAAAATGAATAGACTTAATCAAATATTCATGGTGAGAGGGATAGAGATTTTCCAGAGACATATCAACCGAAAATAATTGGGCAGGAAAATTGAAAGGATCAGACTTTCTTTCATAAGTTGACTTTGTAAAATGCTACATAGCAAGCATCACATTGATCATTCTGCTGGTTCCTTTTCAGGAGCTGCTGCCAGTGCTTTGTATCTTACAGCATATGTGGAGTAGATTAAGAAACTAAACTCAGTTATTGTGAGGTTCTAACATTTTTTAAACAGGTAAACACAAGGCCTCTCTTTCTCTTTGTATCTTTATTTTATTTTATTTGTATTATTGTTTTAAAATTTATTATTCTTTTTTTTTTTTTTTTTTTTTTGAGATGGAGTCTCGCTCTGTCGCCCAGGCTGGAGTGCAGTGGCGCAGTCTCTGCTCATTGCAAGCTCTGCCTCCCGGGTTCATGCCATTCTCCTGCCTCAGCCTCCCGAGTAGCTGGGACTACAGGCGCCTGCCACCACGCCTGGCTAATTTTTTGTATTTTCAGTAGAGACAGAGTTTCACCATGTTAGCCAGGATGGTCTCGATCTCCTGATCTCGTGATCCACCCACCTCGGCCTCCCAAAGTGCTGGGATTACAGGCGTGAGCCACCGCGCCTGGCCTTATTATTCATTTTTTAAAATAGAGACAAGGTCTTGCTATGTTGGCCTGGCTGGTCTCAAACTTGTGGCCTCAAGCAATCCTCTTGCCTCAGCCACCGAAACTGCTGGGATTACAGGCGTGAGCCACCATGCCCAGCCTAGAGATCTTCTTGTGTCAGTACAGATATAGACACTTTATTCTGTTAAAATTGCTGAATAGGCCAGGTGCGGTGGCTCACGCCTGTAATCCCAACACTTTGGGAGGCCGAGGCAGGCAGATCATGAGGTCAGGAGTTCAAGACCAACCTGGCCAACATGGTGAAACTCCATCTCTACTAAAAATACAAAAATTAGCTGGGCGTGGTGGCGCGTGCCCGTAATCCCAGCTACTTGGGAGGCAGAGGCAGGAGAATCGCTTGAACCTGGGAGGCGGAGGTTGCAGTGAGCCAAGAGTGTACCACTGCACTCCAGCCTGGTGGGGGTTGCAGTGAGCCGAGACCGCGCCACTGCACTCCAGCCTGGTGACAGAGCCAGACTCCATCTCCAACAAAAAAAAAATTGCTGAATAGTAGTACATGGTGTGGATGTACTAGAGTTTACTTAATCATTTACTTGATCATTACATACTTACTGTTGGATATTTAGATGGCTGCTGATTTTTCATTATGACAAACAGTGCTGCAATAAACATTCTGCTATGCCTATCTTTGTGCACATTTGAATAATTTTGAGGAACAAATTCTTAAAAATGGAATGTCAAAGTGTATGACACTTTTATGTGTGTGTGTGTGTATGCATATATATATTTTTTTATTTTTTATTTTTGTAAAGATGGGGTTTTGCCCATGTTGCTCAGGCTGGTCTCAAACTCCTGAGCTCAAGCAGTTCACCCACCTCAGCCTCCCAAAGTGCTAGGATTAAAGGTGTGAGTCGCCACACCCAGCCGAAATTTTATATTTAACAGATCCATGAAATTGCCCTCTGTACAGATATATATTTTACAAAGTCCACAAGAAGTTATATTTTTACTGACATTATGAGACTTTCAGTTTCCTCTACATCCTCCTGGAATCTTTCTCATTTTTGTACATCAGTTGAACAAAATGCTATTCCATTACTGTTTTAATTTGCATTTTCCTCATAGTCAGGGGGTTGGAAATCTTTTCCTATGTTTATTGGCCATTTGTATGTCTTTTTTGTGAATTGCCTATTTACTCCTATTGCCTAATTTTTTGTTTGTCGCATTATCTTTTTTTTTTTTTTTTTTTTTGAGATGGAGTTTTGCTCGTTGCCCAGGCTGGAGTGCAATGGCACGATCTTGGCTGACCACAGCCTCCGCCTCCTGGGTTCAAACAATTCTCCTGCCTCAGCCTCCCAAGTAGCTGGGATTACAGGCACCCACCACCACACCTGGCTAATTTTTTTTTTTCTTCCTGAGATGGAGTCTCGTTCTGTCACCAGGCTGGAGTGCAGTGGCGTGATCTCAGCTCACTGCAACCTCCACCTCCTGGGTTTAGGTGATTCTCCTGCCTCAGCCTCCCTAGTAGCTGGGATTACAGGCATGTGCCACCACACCCAGCTAATTTTTTTGTATTTTTAGTAGAGACGGTGTTTCACCGTGTTGGCCAGGATGGTTTCAATCTCTTGACCTTGTGATCTGCCCACCTCAGTCTCCCAAAGTGTTGGGATTACAGGCGTGAGCCACTGCGCCCGGCTAATTTTTGTATTTTTAGTAGAGACAGGGTTTCTCCATGTTGGTCAGGCGGGTCTCGAACTCCTGACCTCAGGTGATCCACCTGCCTCAGCCTCCCAAAGTGCTGGGATTACATGCGTGAGCCACTATGCCTGGCCAGTTTATCTTTTTCTTTAAATAGCTTTTTAAAGAATGTCTTTTGTGATTGTGAATATTAATCTTTTGCTGCAAATAATTTCTCCTAGTCACTTACTATTTTGGGAACTTGAGGGTAGAGGGGTCACTTATCATTTAACTTTTTTTTTTTTGTCAGGGGATAGAGTCTCACTCTGTCACCCAGGCTGGAGAGAATGGTGAGATCACAGCTCACTGTAGCCTCAACCTGATAGGCTCAAGCAATCCTCCTGCCTCAGCCTCCCAAGTAGCCAGGACTACAAGCATGAGCCACTGCACCTGGCTATGTCTTTTAACTTTATGATCACACTGATTCACAAGACTTTCCATTATGTTAGAAATTCTCCTGGACTTTATTACATAAATTATTTACACATCATGGAGAAATCTGATTTGATCCATTTAGGGGCTAATTGTTCTCATCAATTTATGTAATCTGTGTTGAACCCTAAGCACCAAGCTAGTTCTTGCCCGGAATTCCCTCCGCTTTCCTCCTATCTACCGTTTTGCAGTTTGCAGAGACTTGCGCTTTCTTTAAGGGTTAATCCAAGTATCAAAGTCCACAGTGATCTCTCTCTTCCTGGTTCACCATGCATTTGGGACATGATAAAGTTTTGTATTTTGCATGTGTATATATTGTAACTTAAACTAGATGGGATTCTATTCAACTGAAGCAGCTTCGCTTTTGTCTGGACTCTCAGTGTTTTTACTCATAGGAGTCCAGTACGTATCTGTTGGTTGTTTTAAAAATACTTTATCATAGGAAAATCTTCAATGACTCCTTTCTCCCTCATACATACACGCTGTGGGCAATTTGCATCGGCATCTCTTCAATCATCCTTTGTGTGTGCTCTGTCTTCTGTTGCCACGTGCCATTAGGCCACCCTGCTCATTATGTCTGGGATTCCAAACCTCAACAATAATGTTGTGAACAGTGTTAAGGATCTCATTTCTGCCGGGCGCGGTGGCTCACACCTGTAATCCCAGCACTTTGGGAGGCCGAGGGGGGCGGATCACAAGGTCAGGAGTTCGAGACCATCCTGCCGAACATGGTGAAACCCCATCTCTACTAAAAATACAAAAAAAAAAAAAAATTAGCCGGGGGTGGTGGCAGACGCCTGTAGTCCCAGCTACTCGGGAGGCTGAGGCAGGAGAATGGCGTGAACCCAGGAGGTGGAGCTTGCAGTGAGTCGAGATCGCACCACTGCACTGCAGCCTGGGCGACAGAGCAAGACTCTGTCTCAAACAAAAAAAAAAAAAAAAAAGGATCCCATTTCCTCAAAACGTTCTGGTGGCATAAAAAGAAGAATCTAGTATTTTTCACATTTGAAAGATATATCTTTAAAGTCCAACTGGTGCCTGGCATGGGTCTTTATTTCATGCTACCTCAGATCTGCCTTCTCAAACACATTGCAGAGCGCGATGTCGGGATGGCCCCACTAAGATCAAACCCCATGGTCCTTGACAGCAGGTTTTTTGGCTTTTCAAAATTAAACCCAGGTTGGGCACGGTGGCTCACGCCTGTAATTCCAGCACTTTGGGAGGCCAAGGCGGGCGGATCACGACGTCAGGAGTTCAAGACCAGCCTGGCCAACATAGTGAAACCTCGTCTCTACTAAAAATACAAAAATTACCCAGTCATGGTGGCACATGCCTGTAGTCCCAGCTACTTGGGAGGCTGAGGCAGGAGAATCGCTTGAACCCGGGAGGTGGAGGTTGCAGTGAGCCGAGATCGCACCATTGCACTCCAGCTTGGGCAACAGAGTGAGACTTCATCTCAAAAACAAAAACAAAAACAAAAACAAAAAACACCTAATCAAAACTACATTAAAATAAAATTGATATTTTATTGTTTGAATTGTGCATATTATTACCACTGCCTCTACTATGTTTACCTTTTTTTTTTTTTTTTTTTGAGACAGAGTCTTGCTCTGTCGCCCAGGCTGGAGTGCAGTGGCGCCATCTCGGCTCACTGCAAGCTCCGCCTCCCGGGTTCAAGCAATTCTCCTGCCTCAGCCTCCCAAGTAGCTGGGACTACAGGCTCCCGCCACCACACCTGGCTAATTTTTTGTATTTTTAGTACAGACACAGTTTCACTGTGTTAGCCAGGATGGTCTCGATCTCATGACCTCGTGATCTGCCTGCCTTGGCCTCCTAAAGTGCTGGGATTACAGGTGTGACCCACCGCGCCCGGCCTTTTTTTTTTTTTTCTTGTGACGGAGTATCACTCTTGTTGCCCAGGCTGGAGTGCAATGGCATGACTTTGGCTCACTGCAACCTCTGCCTCCCGGGTTCAAGAGATTCCCCTGCCTCAGCTTCCTTAGTAGCTGGGATTACAAGTGCCCACTACCACTCCCAGCTAATTTTTTTGTATTTTTAGTGGAGATGGGGTTTCACCATGTTGGCCAGGCTGGTCTCAAACTCCTGACCTCAAGTGAGCCACCTGCCTTGGCCTCCCAAAGTGCTGGGATTATAGGCATGAGCCACCGCCCCCGGCCTATCCTAATATTTTTTAAAGACATAACGGCAGTAATGTTCTTTCTGACATTTTCATTTAAAGCTCTGGAGCCTCGTGTGTGTGTGTGTGTGTGTGTGTGTGTGTGTGTGTGTGTGTTGTCTTCATTCTCATACATTCAAAGCATTTAGTGTGCTACACGGCAGAAACTGCACCATGGGTGTAGAATAAAAACAAGTTTGATAACTGTGGTAACTGTGGTGGCACCTAAGACATCGAGGCCATCATGACAGAGAAATGACTAGTCCATGAAGACAGAGGAAAGGGATGTGTTTGAACTGAGATGGAATTGCTTGTGTGGATTAGTGCTGGGTTTTCTTCAAGTTAACTTTCAACCTTCTATAAATACAAATCCTCGAAGACCAGTCCTAGACAGCAGAATTTCATCTGTTAAAATAAAGTCTTCAAACGTTATTCCTTTTATTGTTTTTAGTTTTATTTCACAATGATTTCAAACCTACAGAAAAAGTTGCAAGAATAATACAAAGAATTCCCATTCTTTTTTTTTTTTTTTTTTTTTTGAGACGGAGTCTTGCTCTGTCGCCCACACTGGAGTGCAGTGGCACGATCTTGGCTCACTGCAACCTCTGCTTCCCAGGTTCAAGGGATTCTCCGGCCTCAGCCTCCCGAGTAGCTGGGATTACAGGCACACACTACCATGTCTGGCTAAACTTTTTTTTTTTTTAAGAATTCCCATATACTTTCATCCTGATTTGCTAATCATTAATATTTTGCCACATCTGCCTCTCTCTCTGTATATCTGTTTCTATGTCTGTTTATATCTCTCAGTATGCATATAATACACTCTCACAGACACACATACACACACAGACTTTTTTCTCCTGATTTACAGTTAATTGCTCACATCATGGCCTTTACCTCCTTTGAATAATCAGGGTGTGTATCCTTAAAAAAAGGATATTCTCTTATATAACTAGTTATTTTTATTTTGTTTGTTTGTTTGGTGGTTTTTTGTTTGTTTTTTTTTTTTTTTTTGAGACAGAGTCTCACTGTCGCCCAGGCTGGAGCGCAGTGGCATGATTTCTGCTCACTGCAAGCTCTGCCTCCCAACTTCAAGCAATTCTCCTGTTTCAGCCTCTGGAGTAGCTGGGATTACAGGCACCTACCCCTACTCCTGGCTAATTTTTGTATTTTTTAGTAGAGGCGGGGTTTCACCATGTTGGCCAGGCTGTTCTTGACTCCTGACCTCAAGTGATCCACTCACCTCAGACTCCCAAAGTGCCTAGATTACAGGCATGAGCCACCGTGCCCAGCCCTCTTACACACTAGTTATATTGTCAAGTTCAGTCATGTAGCATTGGTTTATTGTCTAATATACAGTTCATACTCAAATTTTGCTAATAACCCCAAAATATTTATTGTGCCCTTCATCTAAACCAAACCCAGGATTACCCATTTCTTTAAAAAGGAACAGTGCCTGACTGGGCATGGTGGCTTATACCTGTAATCCTAGCACTTTGGGGGCAGGTGGATCACTTGAGGTTAGGAGTTCAAGACCAGCCTGACTAACATGGTGAAACTCTGTCTTTACTAAAAAATACAAAAGTTAGCCAGGTGTGGTGGTGCATGCCTGTAATCCCAACTACTTGGGAGGCTGAGGCAGGAGAATCACTTGAACCCAGGAGGCAGAGGTTGCAGTGAGCTGAGATCACTCCACTGCACTCCAGCTTGGGTGACAGAGGGAGACTCTGTCTCACAAAAACAAACAAAACAAAACAGTCCCTGAACTTTTCTTTTTCTCTTACGACATCTACATTTTTTCAAAGAGTGGAAGCCACTCGTTTATAGAATGTTCCTCAATTGGGGTTTGTCTTATCTCTCTTCATGATTAGATTCACGTTACGAATTTTTTGTAGAAATTTATGTACATAAATTCCTCATTATTTCTCAGTTCACATCAGGATATTGATTTTGCATCCTTCTCAGTTCACACTGGGAAACTCATAATGTGGCAAACTCATAATGTGACAATGACAAACTCATTTTGTCGTTTTTTTTAAAAAAAAAACTTTCATTAGAGAGATAGTATTTCACTCTGTTGCCTAGGCTAGAGCACAGTGGTGTGATCTAAGCTCACTGCAGCCTTGAACTTCTGGGCTTAAGTGAACCTCCTGCCTTAGCCTCCCAAGTAGCTCGGACTACAGGTGCACACTACCATGCCTGGCAATTTTTTTTTTTTGGTTTATTTTTTGTAGAGATGAGATCTCAGCATGTTGCCCAGGCTGGTCTTGAACTCCTAGGCTCAAGCAATCCTCCTGCCTCAGCCTCTCAAAGCATTAAGATTACAGGCATGAGCTACTGCACCCAGCCAGTTTGTCCTATTGGTGGTGATCTTGATTTTGATCACTTGTTTAAGGTAGTGTAGGCCAGGCTCTTCCATTGTTATCATTGGTTTCCATTGAAATTAATACCTCATCTGTGGGGGAAATACCTTAAGACTATGTAAATGTAGCCTGTTCCTCTTCTGAATTTCATCCAGTCATTTTAGTATCCATTGATTCTTGCTTGAATTAATTAATTAATTAATACTACGATGGCTACAAAATGGTGATTTTTCTTTTTCTTTTCTTTTCTTTTTCTTTTTCTTTTTTCTTTTCTCTTTTTTTTTTTTTTTTTTTTGAGATGGGGTCTTGCTCTGTTGCCAGGCTGGAGTGCAATGGCGCAATCTCGGCTCACTGCAACCTCCGACTCCCTGGTTCAAGTAATTCTCCTGCCTCAGCCTCCTGATTAGCTGGGATTACAGGCACATGCCACCATGACCAGCTAGTTTTTGTATTTTTAGTAGAGACAGGGTTTTACCATGTTGGCCAGGATGGTCTCGATCTCCTGACCTCGTGATCCGCCTGCCTTGGCCTCCCAAAGTGCTGGGATTACAGGCGTGAGTCATTTTTCTAACTCTACTATTTCTTCTTCTATTGTTAGTTGACATTCTATCACATTTTTATTTTTTAATTTATTTACTTTGAAACAGGGTCTTGTTCTGTCACCCAGGCTGGAGTGCAGTGGTGCGATCATCATAGCTCACTGAAGTGTTGACCTCCCAAACTCAAGCGATCCTCCCAACCTTCACCTCCTGAGTAGCTGGGACTATAGGCAAATGCCACCAGCCCAACTAATTTATTTATTTATTTTTATTTTGGAGAGATGGGGTCTCACTATATTGCCCAGGCTGGTCTTGAACTTTTGAGCTCAAGCCACCCTCCCACCTGGGCCTCCCAAAATGCTGGGATCACAGGCATGAGCCATTGTGCATAACCTCAAACTTTTATTTTTAATTTTACCTCTTATGTCTATTACGAATAAGATGGGGTTCACCAAGTATTGCTTGTCTATTTTGTGTGGGACCCTAGGAAGCATCAGGAGGAACACAAAGATAAGATCATTTGTTCCCTACAGGGCCACTCGATTTGTTGGGGGCAACAGGCATAAGGCAGATGGTGAGAAGTGCTTTACTGGGGATACAAAGGGAAAGAGAAGAAACCAACAGAGAGGGTAATTCTTTCTGGGAGAGCTGGTGTGACCCTGGGAGAAAGGTAGGCTTACAGCCGTGCCTTGTGGTATATATATGGTCTCACTCTGTCTCCCAGGTTGGAGTGCAGTGGCGCGACTTCGGTTCACTGCAGCCTCTGCCTCCCAGGCTCAAGCAATTCTCCTGCTTCAGCCTCCCGAGTAGCTGGGACCAAAGGTGCGTGCCACCGCACCCAGCTAATTTTTGTATTTTTAGTAGAGACGGGGTTTTGCCAAGTTTGCCAGGCTGGTCTTAAACTCCTGACCTCAAGTGATCCACCCACCTCGGCCTCCCAAAGTGCTGGGATTACGGGCGAGAGTCACCAGGCCCAGCCTGAGACTGGGTAATTGATAAAGGAAAAAGGTTTAATGGACTCAGAATTCCACATGGCTGGGAAGGCCTCACAGTCATGGCAGAAGATGAAGGAGGAGCAAAGAGACTTCTTACACGGTGGCGGGCAAGAGAGAGCTGGTGCAGGGGGAACTCCCCTTTATAAAACCATCAGATCTCATGAGACTTATTCACTATTACAAAAAACAGCACGGGAAAGACCCGTTCCCATGATTCAATTACCTCCCACCGAGTTTCTCCCACGACACGTGGGAATTATGGGAGCTACAATTCAACATGAGATTTAGGTGGGGACACAGCCAAATAATATCAATGATGTATGTATTCAAAGAAAGGCATTAGAGTTGGAGGGAACCGAAGGGGCTTTTGGGAAATTACAAATAATCCAAACGGTTAGAGCCTAAGGTTCATGGGAGAAGAGCAGGGGAGGGATAGTGAGATACGAAGTTGGGAAGATAGGCTGGGGTCAGCACAAGGTCCCAGGCTGAGGAGTTTGAACTTCCTTCCTCACTGAGGAAAATAATGAAACATATCTGAGAAGCAAGGTTACCTATCATCTGAGAAGCAAGGTTACCTATCAGGCGATGCTTACAGTGCTTAGGGCAGGGACTATATCTTATTCATCCTTGTATTTCTTTTTTTTTTTTTTTCTGAGATGGAGTCTCTCTCTGCCGCCCAGGCTGGAGTGCACTGGCGTGATCTCAGCTCACTGCAAGCTCCGCCTCCCGGGTTCACGCCATTCTCCTGCCTTAGCCTCCCGAGTAGCTGGGATTACAGGCGCCCATCACCACGCCCGGCTAATTTTTTGTATTTTTAGTAGAGACGGGGTTTCACGGTGTTAGCCAGGATGGTTTCGATCTCCGGACCTTGTGATTCACCCACCTCAGCCTCCCAAAGTGCTGGGATTACAGGCGTGAGCCACCGTGCCCAGCTCATCTTTTTATTTCTAAGACCTGCAACAGTGCTCTGCATAGAGCACTGTTGAACAGAGTGTTCAAAAAATGTTTGCAGGCACCAATGCTCCGAATAATTTAGAATAAAGACTGGTGTATATGTATGTTTTATGTGTGAGTTGTGGTCACGACAGTGGGGAGCTGGGGGGTGGGAACGGGTCCTTAGAAATTCAGCCGTCTACTGAATATTTAATAGAAAATGTTTTATTTTTGAGACAGGGTCTTGCTCTGTTGCCCAGGCTGGAATGCAGTGGCACAATCATGGCTCACTGTAACCTCAAACTCTTGAGTTCAAGCAATCTTCTTGCCTCAGCTTCCCAAGTAGCTGGGACTACAGGCGTGTGCCACCACACCTGGCTAGTTTCTTCTTTTTACTCGTTGCAGAGACTGGGGTCTTGCTATGTTGCATAGGCTGGTCTTGAACTCCTGGCTTTAAGCAATCCTCCCACTTCAGCCTTTCAAAGCATTGGGATAATAGGTGTGAGCCATCTTGCTGCGCCTCTAGAATATGTTTTAAATATCAAGTTTGTAGACTACCATCCCCACCCTCCTTCCACTTTAATTTCTGAAATCTCAGTAACCAAATTTGGGAATAACTTTTGAACAACTTTATGTTCCGGAAAAGAGAACAAGGCTCTTAGAGAAACAATAGTATGAGCTGGGCATGGTGGCTCAAGCCTGTAATCTCAGAACTTTGAGAGGCTGAGGCAGGAGGATTGCTTGAGCTCAGGAGTTCGAGACCATCCTGGGCCACACAGAGAAACCCCGTTTCCACAAAAAATAAAAAAATTTAGCTTGACGTGGTGGGGCCTGTGGTCCCACCTACTGGAGAAACTGAGGTGGGAGGATCACTTGAACCCAGGAGGCTGGAGCTGCAGTGAGCCATGTTTGTGTCACTGCACTGCAGCCTGAGCAACACAGCAAGACCCTGTCTCAAAAAAAAAAAAAAAAAAAGCGAGAGAGAAAGAAAGATAACATCCCATTTGAAACTATTTCATGCCAAATCTTCTATGTGAGTATTTTAGAATTTAAAAACCCAAACACAAACACCTCTTTAAAGATGCATATAAACTTTACCTGGTTTTAAGAGTCTATGCATTTTGTCAAATCAGTGTAAGCAGCCTATTTTATTTAATATGAGAAAACAGAGCAACAAAGTAAAATGAGATACCCAAAATAACAGAGTAAAAATAAGTGTAGAGGAAGTCTTGCTGATCACTTAGGAAATGAATTAAAGCATATTTATATTTCAGACATTCCCTATATTATCCCTTTTGAACTTCAAACTCCCCTTTGTAATCTCTCTTCAGCTTCTTCATTCTGCAGTGAAATTCCTGAAAATCTAGCAGCTTGGTTAAGAAAGTTTACATGTTTTCCCAGTACAGAGTATTGGCAAGTTGTAGGTACACTTTACTGGCTTCAAATGGAAAATCATTTGATCATCAACTACTTCAGTTCCAACTAACCCTTAGCTGTAGAAAGGTAATATTTATTTATGTTTTCATTTAAACTATTTATTCTGATTACAAATGGAATACATAGCAATTGTAGAAAATCTAGAAAATACTGAAAAGTATCCAGAAGTGAATAATGACCCATAATTTTTTTTTTTTTTTTTTTGAGATGGAGTCTTGCTCTGTCACCCAGGATGGAATGCAGTGGTGCAATCTCAGCTCACCGCAACCTCTGCCTCCCGGGCTCAAGTGATTCTCCTGTCTCAGGCGCCTGAGTAGCTGGGATTACAGGCGCACGTCACCATGCCCGGCTAATTTTTTTACTTTTAGTAGGGACAGGGTTTCCCCATGTTGGCCAGGCTGGTCTCGAACTCTTGACCTCAGGTGATCTACCCGTGTTGGCCTCCCAAAGTGTTGGGATTACAGGCGTGAGCCACCGCGCCCAGCAGTAACCTATAATATAACCATCTAACGAGGGCCACCAAAATACATCCATGTTTGGTATTTTCTTTTCATCTTTGTGGGTACATATTTATAAAACCCCTTTCTTTGACTATACATAGCATGAATGTTTTCCCATGTCACTAAATGTTCCTTAATAATAAGAATTTTTCCCCTTTTTTTCCAACTACTCAACTTTTTGGTGGCATAACAGTAGCCATGGTATGGATGTATTGCTTAACTACTCCCCTAATGTTGGACACCTAACCTAGGTTATTTCCAATTTTATTTTAATTTAAATTAATTATTATTATTTGAGACAGGGTCTTGCTCTGTCACCCAGGCTGGAGTGCAGTGGTGTGATCATAGCTCACAGTAACCTTGAACTCCTGGGCTCAAGTAATCCTCCTGCCTCAGCCTTCCAAGTAGCTGGGACTACCGGCATACATCACCATGCCTGGTTAATATTAAACATTTTTGTAGAGATAGGGTCTCACTATGTTGCTCAAGCTGGTCTCCAGCTCCTGGCCTCAAGCAATCCTCCCATCTTAGTCTCCCAAAGGGCTGGGATTATAGGTGTGAGCCACCATGCCTGGCCCAATTTTATATATAAAGATATATGTGTGTGTGTATATATATATATATATGTGTATATATATGTGTGTGTGTGTATATATATACACATACACCTTTCCTAGAAGAGGAATTATCTATCATTTTCAAAGTTATTTACATTTTAGCCTTTTTCATACTTATTGTCAAATTGTCCTTCCCCAAAGTTTTAAAGTTTACACAACCATCAACAGTGTATGGAAGTTAAGGCATGAAGAACTCACATTGCTTTTAGCACTACTTTTACACACTTCATCTATAAATCAACATCTAAAAGAGTATTTCCGTGTGACCCATGCACGGTTCATTTGAGCATTCACAGGGTGTTCCCCACAGCCTGGTACATTACAGCTTTTGTCATAACATGAACAGCAATCGGCTCAAAACACTGCCCATTGTGATGCTGATGATGAGACCTCCCTAATGTTCTAAAAGATTGTTTGGTGTAACCACTTTAGCTCAGACCTTTCTTTTAACCTTGCCTATCATGTTTCGAGTCAGAATTTAAATACTGTGCAGTTTAAGCTACAATACGCTTGGCCTATAACTTGGTTCCAGGCATTTATATTTATGTCACTTTTGTCTACTTATTATACTAACAAGGTGGAAAAAGCAATCCCAGTCTCTCCAAAAGGTAAAACTCTCCTGTTTTTTTGGATATTATTAGAGTTTTAAAATTAGGCTAGATAAATTATAGTACCCTTAGGAATAAGTGCATAAAGGGAGTTTTATGAAATATTTTAAGAAGAACACATTTAAAAATCCAAACTGAAATATAAAATGTAATTTCTTAAGAACTGGAGGCAAGAGACATTACAAAAATAAAATATTAAATTGTTGTCTTAAGACATAATTTTAATTAATATAAATAGAAGTATTTAGTCTTATTTAAACTGCATATTTTTTCATCACAAAAGCAATGAACAGAGCATCTTCTCTCTTGTCTCGTAATCTTTTGAGTCAAAATGCTTTAAATTCCAACTAATCTCAGTTGAAGCTTCTATTTATCAGGCTATTTCCTTAATGACTTTTTTTCTGATGTGTGGCTTTAGGTGGTTGCCATTAATGAAAAAATACAAAGACTACAGATGTGAAATGTTGGAGAGGACAATAATTACAATAGTTTTAAGTTTTCACTGATACAGATTCTAACAGGGGTGTGCAATCAATGACTACCAAAAAGTCACTTTAATTAAATAATCTTACCCTAGAGAAGAGTGTGCTCCCGTATAAAGCTTTATTTTTCATTTTTATTCTTGTTCTTTTTTCTGTGGCCCAAGATCACTTGGCAATTTGATACTGATTTGGCAGAAATAAATATTCTATGAATATTTTTCTACTCAAAGTGAATACAGTTTTGTTGGCTGTGATACTCTATACCTCTTAATTTCAAGCTGTGACGTTTTTGCCAAACAACTGAATTTAGATTTGCCAAACAACTGAATTTAGATATTCCTTTTGCCGTGTCGTTGTGTGAACATTGCCCTAGTGATAGCTTCATATTTCCCTCATCTCATCATTCAGAAGCTATTTATCTATTTTTTTCCACTGCCTCCTTCAAACCCCCTCCCCCAACATTGAATGCCTGTTCAGCCCCCGCATATTCATCCGTATTTATTCCCGTAAAGATAGTGACACTTATGGTTTATTCTAAGACTAAATCTGTGTTGCCCAGTGACTAAGGACTTAAGCATGCACACTGCTTCTATGCTTACCCTCCTACCTAACTTGACTACTCAACATTTTTATTTCATTCCCTCAGAATCCCCTGTTTTGGCACAGTTCAGTTAACACACCACTGCCAGGCCACTAATTGATTTCTGAAACCTGACATTTGTTTTTTGTTTTCTCCTATCTTCCCTAATGGTACAGCACTACTAAGCGGGAAGGAATGCAAAGAACTAGAAAGTTCAAAGTAATTGAGGATCTGTCCATTCACACTGTCTGGCTTCAAGCCAATGTAGAACCTGGAACATTTGAAAAATATTTATCAAGTTTTAACCCTTTTTACTAAGTCGGTGAAACAGGTTTGCAGCTGTAGCATTTATGTTAAAAGCAACAGCAAGGAAACTTGGTCGAACATGTTCTTTATATGTTCAGAATCACATGGCAAATGTCTCCGAAAAGGATTACTTTCCAATTTCCGTACTATTGTACAGTGCTAAGCTAGTTATTTTCTGTGAGACTGCAGAGCAGGGCATTTCAGAGAAACTATTACTTAAAAGTGGCAGCCCTATTTCATGAATCTTTATGCCCAAAATGGAATTTTAAAACCTGCTACTGTATTGGAGCAAAAAGGAATATATTCAGTTACTATAAGAACCCCAACGCTAGCTTCATATCTATATTATGAAAAGTGGAAATATGAAAAATTAACAAGACTAAAAATATTAAAAACTTAGTTGTATGGTTTTTTTTTTGCAATGAAAAAGCTTTTGTAAATGAAAGCATGTTAAAAAGTGGTGTGAAATTATAGAAGCATTTCCAGTAAAATACATGGATTTTATTGCAGTGAAAACTTAGGTTGAAAGACCGGGCCACTGAAGCTCTCGTAAAAAGACAAAAGGAAAGGTCTAGATAGGTTTAAAAGCACATTAAGATACAGCTACCGAATGTATTAAATCTAAGTTAGATTTAGCTTAAAGTTACAAGAGCACAAAAGTTCTATTAAGAATTATCTACATCACATTTAGGTTTGATGTTATCAGAATTAAGTAACTAAAAATCTTTCAAAGCTCAATTTTTTAAAAGAGTTACATTAAATCCCATCCTAATTCTATAATCTGTTTCTAAGCTAATTAATTACATGATAGGTTTTACATTAGAGAAAAGCAGGACAGCTTTTTAAAGATGAAGATGGACAGCATGGGGCTGCTTGGTTAGAGAAAAACTTGCAAAAGCACTTATTAAATAATACTTTGATAACATGAAAGTAGTCATCAGCCATTCTCTGAAGGCAGTGATCACAGCTATAAAAATGAATCATGTGTCAACAGGAAGAGAAGGAAAAGGAGAAAAACCCAGTTTACAGCATAATTTTATATTTTCTAATAATAAATACATTTCTTTATGTGCATATTAATTTTCTACCCATTGAAAATGAGATCCATACCTTTGATAGATACACTCTTTGAAGTGAACGTTTTTATCCAAGACTTTTTTTTAAAGCTGTTTTACTCTGAAGTGATGAATAGGCTGTGGTATATGTAAAACTGTCTAATGGTATATTGTGTGTCAACATATGTACATTTGTAGTAATATCACAGGCATTTTTATTGCAGTTTATTGTTCCGTCCTCCCAATAAGCCAGATAAAATCATGTACAAGAACATTAAGGATTAAGGGAAGTGGTTTCCTTAGGTGATTGCTGGCAAAAATTCACCCTCCCATTATAACAACATAGTAAATGGATGGTAATATATTTGGCTATTACTTTCCAACAAATTTGGATTCCCAGTTTTCAGAGCTGCTCTGTGTCTATGTTTGCGGCTTTTTGATTGTCTCTTCGTAGGAAAAGGTGCCACAATGTGAGGTAAATGTGCTAGGTTTCTGCTTTGTAAATATTAAAGTCCATTTTTTGAACATACAGTGCTAGCAAAAATAAGTCAAAGATGTAATGTCTATTTAAATACACGTTTGAGCTAGTCGTGCTTAAATTAGATTCCATGCTTCGGCTAGAATCAACACGGCTTAAATATTAGAAACTTCAAAATTCATATGGCCCAAGCCCTCCTCCCCACACACGGATGGGAAGTAGAAATGTGTGGGAAAACGTCTAGCAATTAAAATCCTGAAGGAGTGGGAAAAACCCAGGCTTTTATGCAAGGATCTGAAAAAACGCTTGCCATCAAATCTTTTATTCAGGCATTCTGAATTTGCCTTGTTAAACGGATACACTCACTGCTAAAGATACACAGGGACAAGAGCTGTTTTAAATTTGTTTATCACACCGCCCCTAGTTTTCTGCTAAAGAGAAGTACATTTTGGATATTTAAAAGTACACACTCATTAGACAAATCTCTAAAAGCCTCAGCGCCCCTACCTAGCTGCCTTCTGGGTTTCAGCTTTTGAGTTTCAGGTCCTTGCACAACACCTAAGACGTGCAATACTCTTTTTCTTCCTAATCCTGGCAGAGAACAGTGCGAAGAGATCTCCCTCCGCGTCTCCACCCTAATTCCCCCTCTTCCCAGATTCCACCCGCTCCGCTACTTCCCTCCGCCCCCGGCTCCGCCAGCCCAATCTGTCAGAGAAGTTGTGTACAAACTGCGCGGCCGCCCTGCGCGCGAAGCTCGTGGCCCGAGAGGGGTGCGGTCGGGCCGACGGAGGCGGGGCCCTGGCTGCCTCTCTCCCTGCTCATAGGCTGGCCGCTCAGGCCTGGCCGGCCTCGGGGCCTCGGGATTCGCGGCGGCGCTGCCAATCAGGCGATCGGGCCCCGCCCCCCCGGAGTTGGGTGAAATAGAGGCGGGCGTCAAGTGTCAGTAGTCGCGGGGCAGGTACGTGCGCTCGCGGTTCTCTCGCGGAGGTCGGCGGTGGCGGGAGCGGGCTCCGGAGAGCCTGAGAGCACGGTGGGGCGGGGCGGGAGAAAGTGGCCGCCCGGAGGACGTTGGCGTTTACGTGTGGAAGAGCGGAAGAGTTTTGCTTTTCGTGCGCGCCTTCGAAAACTGCCTGCCGCTGTCTGAGGAGTCCACCCGAAACCTCCCCTCCTCCGCCGGCAGCCCCGCGCTGAGCTCGCCGACCCAAGCCAGCGTGGGCGAGGTGGGAAGTGCGCCCGACCCGCGCCTGGAGCTGCGCCCCCGAGTGCCCATGGCTACAAGGGTGCTGAGCATGAGCGCCCGCCTGGGACCCGTGCCCCAGCCGCCGGCGCCGCAGGACGAGCCGGTGTTCGCGCAGCTCAAGCCGGTGCTGGGCGCCGCGAATCCGGCCCGCGACGCGGCGCTCTTCCCCGGCGAGGAGCTGAAGCACGCGCACCACCGCCCGCAGGCGCAGCCCGCGCCCGCGCAGGCCCCGCAGCCGGCCCAGCCGCCCGCCACCGGCCCGCGGCTGCCTCCAGAGGACCTGGTCCAGGTAGGAAGAGCCGCTCCCCTCCCACCGCAGCACTCCCGGGCTCGGGCGTGTCCCGTTGCTGCGACTCGCGGGCGACAGGGGCCGCTCCAGGCTGGGGCGTGCGTCGGGGCGCACCGGAGCCGGTGCTGGGTGGGCAGCCCCGCCCTGCACGCCTGGCCGGGGCCCCGCGTTTCGCTGAGAGTAAATGGGGGGGGGGGCCGGGGGTGGGAAGGATGGAGGGGAATCTGCCCCGGCGGGTCGGCCTGGGAGAGGTAAGAGGGAGGGAACTGGGTGCTCACGCGCACCTTAGTTGTTTTTCTTACACTTGAGGGACGAAACCTTGTACCTTACGCTCAGTTTTACTTAAATTACGCCTTCGCCTGTACCGCTCTCCAATGCCAAGGCATTGGAGCCCTCCCCCCCATCCCCATCGTCTCGGGTTAAGTAGAAACGCAAATTGGGGTGCTGGGGAGAGGTTCCCCAAGGTTTCATACCCGGTGGCTCAACCTGCTTTAGAAGCGATTGCGGGCCGCGTTTGGAAAATGAGAGTTAGGAAAGCTAAGGTTGTGTCGGAGCGCTTATTTTTCCTTAAAAAAAAAAAAAAAAAAAAAAGACCGGGGGTGTTGTTTTCTTCGTGTGCACGTAAATTTCCTCCCGGAGCCGCGTTGAAAGCTGGCAGTTGGCTTTTACACTTGCCCAGCAGCCGAATTAGAGCAACCGCCTGTTTCTTTCGCCCACGCAGGGAGTCATATAGCCCAGAAAAAACTTCCCGGGACTTTTAGCCTGTCCCAAGGAAAAAAAAATTGGAAACATACCCACATGCAAACAGCTGGAAGAGCTAAAATCAGAAACCACTAACCGCCGCGGGAGCGCAGTGCACGAAAGGGTTTAGTTCAGTTTATTTCAAGACACTTCATTTAGTAGCTCTTTGGCGTGTCGTATATTTGCTACCCAGCGCCTACTCCGTGGGGTCTGCCAGGGTCTTGCTGTGAGAGGGCAGTGGCGTTTGTCAGAGATGTGACTCACATGATGAGAGCGTTAATTTTTATTTTTAAATCATGTCTATCCGGGAAACCCCGTCCGCATCCACACCAAGGTCCGAGATGAAACGCATTTGAAATGAAGTAGTAGCAGAAAATGACTGTCTTATTTACCTGTTAAGGTGCCACAGCTAATATATGCGCCATTCCATCTAGTTGGTTTTCTTATCTTTCGAAATTTCCTTTTCAGTGTTAAAAAATGTAGGCTTAAGTTATACTAGGAGAGAAGATAGCTGGAAAAGGCTTGAGGCGACTTGTTACAAGCTGGTTTATAGCCTAGAAAAGAGATCACCGTTTGAAAAGTATTTGGTTATTTCAGTTTGTCAATTTTCTGCTCTGGAGGCACTAAGAAGATAAGGGATGACTGAGCTTTTTACAGAGTAGGGGGGAATGTAGCATTGGCCCACTGAGAAGGACATGATAAATGTTTTGCTGATGACTGTGCTAGGGATACAGCAGCCTCCCCACCCACGGGCTCCTTAGCAGCACTCTACCAAGGGAGTGATTTTCCCCTAGGTAATTAAAGATCTGTTTTAGATAGGGATATGAATAGGAACATTTCATTATCATATTAACCAATTACAGGATCTGCTGATGAAAATCAACATTTAGATCAAATATTGAATGTGAAATTGTTTTGTTTCAGTGGATACAAGGTTTTGCTTAGAACGTTGTGTTTAATTTCTCATTGAACTGTAAACAAGAAAAGACACTGAAATAGCCAAATAATATTTTTATATTACTTTTGAAGTATCTAGTCAAGAAAAGAAACCTGTGCAATATTTTAAAGGTTTGCATCGTTTTTTCTATTAAAAAAAACCACGCTTTTTAATGTTTGTGACTTAAACAGAATTGAGGTAGTTTGGCAACATTTCAATACTGTACTCTAATTGCAAACTTAACTGTGTAATGGGGCAGGGAATCCTGCTTGTACAGGGGTGATGGTACCTTGTTATTGCATCAGAATGGAATGTTTTAAGTTTGCTTTCTTTTTTATTCTTGATTTGCGTCTTTCACTTTTGGGGGTGATTGGGGGAGCAGTTTTACCAGTTACACAGAGTTTCATAAGGTTTTGGTCAACCAGTTATTACACAATCGACAAAATAAGCCTGATATGTTTATAAGCAACACTGAGGAGTTTGCCCTAGTACCTTACACAGGGATTGGGGGAATTTTTAGTAGGCGCCGATTGTTCGTTCTTCCCGAGATGGTGAATCAGGTGGATTATGCATTTTATATCTCTTCTTTTTTAGACAAGATGTGAAATGGAGAAGTATCTGACACCTCAGCTTCCTCCAGTTCCTATAATTCCAGAGCATAAAAAGTATAGACGAGACAGTGCCTCAGTCGTAGACCAGTTCTTCACTGACACTGAAGGGTTACCTTACAGTATCAACATGAACGTCTTCCTCCCTGACATCACTCACCTGAGAACTGGCCTCTACAAATCCCAGAGACCGTGCGTAACACACATCAAGACAGAACCTGTTGCCATTTTCAGCCACCAGAGTGAAACGACTGCCCCTCCTCCGGCCCCGACCCAGGCCCTCCCTGAGTTCACCAGTATATTCAGCTCACACCAGACCGCAGCTCCAGAGGTGAACAATATTTTCATCAAACAAGAACTTCCTACACCAGATCTTCATCTTTCTGTCCCTACCCAGCAGGGCCACCTGTACCAGCTACTGAATACACCGGATCTAGATATGCCCAGTTCTACAAATCAGACAGCAGCAATGGACACTCTTAATGTTTCTATGTCAGCTGCCATGGCAGGCCTTAACACACACACCTCTGCTGTTCCGCAGACTGCAGTGAAACAATTCCAGGGCATGCCCCCTTGCACATACACAATGCCAAGTCAGTTTCTTCCACAACAGGCCACTTACTTTCCCCCGTCACCACCAAGCTCAGAGCCTGGAAGTCCAGATAGACAAGCAGAGATGCTCCAGAATTTAACCCCACCTCCATCCTATGCTGCTACAATTGCTTCTAAACTGGCAATTCACAATCCAAATTTACCCACCACCCTGCCAGTTAACTCACAAAACATCCAACCTGTCAGATACAATAGAAGGAGTAACCCCGATTTGGAGAAACGACGCATCCACTACTGCGATTACCCTGGTATGTGCTCTTACCTGGTTGAAGCATCAATAGATGTAGTGTGTGTGTGTGTGTGTCTGTGTGCGCGCGCGTGTGCGTGTGTGCACGCGCGTGCCCTTTTCAACCTCATGGCTTTAAATAGGAAAGTTGTACTTGACAGTAAAAAAAAAAAAAATTACCTTTTTTTTTTTCTCTATCCTATCTCTGTGCTTTAACTTTGGTATGTAAACCAGTTAGTTGTCTGTTGCTTATGTTATGCATCAAAAACTTGGCTAGAATATTCTGGAAAAAGTTCCCTTGGATTTTTTTTTCTTTAATATTAAAACAGATTTGAATTTCTAATACATATTATTTCGAGTTAGGCCAGAGTTACTTTAAAATGGCAATTGAATAAATTGCAGTTTTTAATTCTAAATTAAGTGCCCCAGAAAGAGATTAAAGTAGGGTGGGGGAAAATAAGGTTTGGTGGTGAAGTGGAGGTTGCAGGCAGCTAGCTTGATGTTAGGTACAAGACTGTCTACAAGACAGATTTAAGAATGGTTTTGATGGCACGTGAGCATATGCTCAGTTTTGAATGACATACATGGCCCAAAGTATAAGTTGAAGACAATACATGGAATATATTTACAAGTTACTGGGAAAGCTAGTTTATGATTAATACATGGCAAAATTTATTGACTCTGATACATGATATGGCATGACGTGCTAAATGAAAAAAGAAGAAATGTGGGAGTACAGAAAATTACAGTCATCTTGGATAATGGCTTAGTACTGTCAGCTCTAGAGCCATTAAAATTTTTAAAAAAACATATAGCAGCTCTTAATACGGAAGTACAGCACCTACTGGAATATAAACACAAATTTTCCATTTGTAGTTTGGCTTGATTATCTGTATTCTTTCCTGTTAAAGTGATACATAAAACAAATCACTTCATGCCTTTAATAAGGTAATGGGGGAGGGCTCTTTAAAACTTTTAAAACTGAAGCTTCAAATAATCTCATCTAGCATGAGAGATTTCTTCTTTAAAGCCAGATTTTAAACACTGAATCATCAAATGTAAAGATTTCAAAAGGATCTCCAAAATGACATGCTGTTCTCCTTTATTTTAGGTTGCACAAAAGTTTATACCAAGTCTTCTCATTTAAAAGCTCACCTGAGGACTCACACTGGTATGTAATTTTCTTGTTAATTCTGTGAGTTGTGTAAATAGTGTAAGTGGTATTCATCCTTTTAAAAGCTAACACGTGTTTGATCTCTTCTCCTGTCAACTTTGTTTTTTTTTTTTTTTTTAAATAGCCTACCTTTTCAGCACAGGCTTGGTTCAGAATTCAGTTCCATGAGAAATCTGGTTCCAGGAAGGCCGGTGATGTTCCCTCACTAAGGCCTTCTTGCCCTGTCACCGCTCAGAGTTGATTACCCAAAAATGTAAACAGCGATGTTTACTAATGGATTTTAAAACTTATACTGGCAGTGTTTTGAAGGAAAAAAAACAAAACAAAACTCATTTTCTTCCATAGCAAATAATTTTGCTCTGAGAAAGCCATTTTAAACTCTTAAAAACTTTCCCATTTGGAGTGTACTGCATAATTGGTGAAAACGTTAGTTTCACCTCTAGGTTAAAATATCTGTGTTTAGTATGTTTTCTGTGCTTGATGAAAGGTAGTGCTGAAATTGCAGTGTTAAAATCAGGTGGTCAGAAATGGGTTACAAGCCCCAGCCTAAACTTGGTATGTGTGAGAGACTTGATCTTTATTCTAGCTTACATTCATTCTTGTTTACATATGCTTTTAAGTTTAGCTCCTCTACTTTTGTATTTGCTTTGTTCAATCTATAGCAGTCACTTTTTTTGAGATGGAGTCTTGCTCTGTTGCCAGGCTGTAGTGCAGTGGTGTGATCTCAGTTCACTGCAACCTCTGCCTCCCAGGTTCAAGCGATTCTCCTGCTTCAGCCTCCCGAGTAGCTGGGATTACAGGCCCCCACCACCATGCCCAGTTGATTTTTGTATCTCTAGTAGAGATGGGGTTTCACCATGTTGGCCAGGCTGGTCTCCAACTCCTGACATCTTTATCCACCTGCCTCGGCCTCCCAAAGTGCTGGGATTACAGGCGTGAGCCACCGCGCCCGACCAGCACTTTTAAGAGCTTTTAAACTTTAAAATTATATCAGAAGCCATTTTAAGATGAAACCAGGTGGCATACTTTAAAGGCCCCCCAAATACTCCAAATATTGTCAAATATATAGATGGTTACTATTTGCGATTTTCTTAAAAGAGCAGCCCTAAAGAAAAGAACTTATATAAAGTGATTGTGTTTTTTTCCCTCAATAAATACAGCCTTACCTAAAGTTCAGAGAATAAGTTTGCTAATAAAAGCAATGACCTAGCAAAATGTATTATTCCATCATTGCTATGGAAACCAAAGTATTCAACAGTTCCTTTGAATGGGTTGTTGGATTAGTGTGAGGACTTGAATCTCCCGAGGCTAGATGTTACTATGGAAATTGAGTTTTGATAAATGAAGTAGTTATCTCTAACTGCTGCATTAAAAAGTAAAAGCCTTTGAACAAAGGTCAGTGCTGAGGTAGAGCCCTAAGAGGAATATGGTTGCAGACATTTTGTATGCATGTTAGGAAGCATTGCTTGATATCCCAGTGATAAACACTACTTACTAAAATCCGATGACAATGTTGTAGATTCCAGGGCTTTTTGAGAAACTGCTTTTAAGGAGAAGGCATCTTATGTATTTATCTATGAAATGAGCGGGCTGTTTTGGCCTGAGGTTTTTGCATGGAGACAAACTGATTACATAAGAGGAAGGATCCTTCATAGGCAGCCCAAGGTAGAAATTTTTATAGTTAAACACAAATGAATTAAGCATGTTATAAAAACTCCAACTTAAAGTTTTCAAAATACAAATGACAAGTGCCAGGAAAATATTCCATGTAGAAATACCAAAATGTCCTTTTACAGAATATAAATGGAAATATAAAGACATTTGAACTATTGTTTTTTTCACTTTTGGAAGTCCTTGAGAGATAGGAGGGAACACATTTTCCTGGGTTTAAAGTCTCCTAATAAAAGAGCACAATTGCATATAACGATGTAATCAACTACTTATTGCAGGGATGTAGTCAAACCCATATCTGAATAGCCTTTCACCCCGTCAGGGTTTAGTGCCCTGAATGCTTATACCTGCGATTCAGGAACTTGACCTGCCGGCAAATACATTTAATCGTGGGTTGTCTTAACAATGCTTGTACTAATAAAAACAGACTGAAAAGAAGACCGAGACCTGGTTTGGGTCCCTTGCATCAGCTTTTTCACCTGACCATAAACATTGTGGCCTTCAACATCTAATGAATGAGAACATGTAATCCAGTTTAATAAAGTTTTGTTTGATAGTCTTTCAAATGCCTTGGGGAGGGTTTGTAGCAGACTTGTTCATCTGGCTAAACCTGTTCTTGGGTAATCATAGAGCATTGAGGTTGTTTTCTCCTCATTTCTCATTTCTAGACAATGCCTTTTAAAATTACCTGTTCTCTCATTGCATCCTCCCCACCCTGCCCGCCTGTTGTTTTTAAATGAATGTATCTGAAGCCAGCAAAGGTGTTTTTTTTTTTTCTTTCCCTTTAAGGCCCAGGTAGAACAGTTAGGACAGTTTTTCTAAATTACTTCTCTTATGTAATAGCTTTTTTTGGTTTTCTTTCTGTCCTCCTCCTCCCTCTCGGACCGTTGATCAGAGGACTTTAAAAACCACACAACAGTTGATGACATAAAATACTCTTTAAATGATTGTCGTTTTACAGGCAGAATGTGAAGCACCCTAGCATTTCTTTGGAAAATAATTGTAATTGCTTTAAAATGTCAAGTTACCTTATGTTTTAAAAATAATTTAGGCAATGAAAACAGCCTACATCTGAGTTTAATTACTTCTTCTGGATTTTTAGATTGGAAGTGCTTCTTTAACTTGGGTTGCAAATTGAACCTAAGCAAATAATAGTCTTAACAAAATAGAACTTTTTAAGTAATCTGAGATGACAGAGTAGATGATATATCAGTTTCTTAAACCAGAAGTATAGCATTCAAGTCTTCTAAGTTCATATACTTTGATTTCTTTATCAGGAAATCGCATATAAATAATACAAAGTTCTGTCTTCTTTGTGTGATTAGACAATACTGGAAACATTTGCTTCTATTCTAGGGAATAATTATATTTTATTTATATCTGTACATACATAGTATAGCATAAGGCCTGTAGAAGCACCCCTTATAGATGTGGATGTTCGCATGTATTATTTGTAGTATGTGTGTGTATACATTTATCATGCCTTTGGTGAGAAATAATTATGGCTGCTTCTAGGTAACAATGTCAATGAGTGGTGTATTTCCAATTCAAAATATTTGTACTTTTAACAGCATTTAAATGAACATTGTACTGAAATTTGTATGCCTCATGATGTCTACAAGGGGCGGAACACATTGCTATTACTCTAAAGTTGCTCCCAAGTATACTGTTTTGTCTTTATAAATCAACATGACTGATAAACTGTCTATTGCAACCAGTATTATATGCTCACATACCTTACTTTTTTCTTTAATATAATGAACATTTAAAATAATGTCTAAGTTTGCAAAGGTTTGAGGCAAGTTGAAATCAGTAGGAAAATATATTGACTGTATCTTCAAACAAAAATTTGTAGAAATTTAAAAAGTTCTTACCAGAGAAAAAGTTCTGAAAAAGTAAACCATGAACTCAACACAGATGTTTGAAGTCCTAGCGGTTCCCTTCATGTGCGTGGATATACACTTAACCTTAGAGAATATGGAAAAGCTGTTGGGAAATCAGGGTACGGTAACGTTTCTAGATTTTTTCTTTCTTTTTTTTCCCCCGTTTCAGCTATCTGGAACAGGGCAAGAAATTAGCATTTGTACAAAGAAAGTCTTTGAACAACACACACTTGGCTCAAGTATTCCTCAGACCCAGACTCCATGCATTGGACTCTGTGTGTACTAAGTGATCCCAGAGTGGCTTACTGGAGATTGACAATGGAAAAGGACAATTTGAAACACGCCCGTAGGAGAAAATGGAAACATTGTACAAATAACATAGGAACACAAAATTCACTCTTCTTTTTTTTTTTTTTTTGAGATGAAGTCTCGCTTTCGTCCCCAGGCTGGAGTGCAATGGTGCGATCTCGGCTCACTGCAACCTCCACCTCCCAGGTTCAAGCGATTCTCCTGCCTCAGCCTCTCAAGTAGCTGGGATTACAGGCGCCTGCCACCACGCCCGGCTAATTTTTGTATTTTTAGTGGAGACGGGGTTTCACCATGTTGGCCAGGCTGGTCTCGAACTCCTGACCTCAGATGATCCACCCGCCCCAGCCTCCCAAAGTGCTGGGATTACAGGCGTGAGCCACCACGCCAGACTCACAAAATGGACTCTTAAAGCACTGTGTTCAAGATTCCCTGTTTAGGAAAGATTTCCACATTAAGTCCTGGAAAGATTTTTAGTGGAAGCCTAGTTTGTAAAGGGGTTACATTCCCATTTTCTGCCTTACTGTCTTTTGCAGAAGACTTTATTGCCTACTGACATGTGTAGTAAGATGTTATTAGTTATACTTCGTATAATCTGTACTTGAGATTTGCTGCTGAATATATTGACTTTCAGTTTGGGTACTAAAAGATCCTTAGATATGAATTTCTTTTCTAGGGCCTGGCACAGTGGCCCACACCTGTAATTCTGGCACTTGGGAGGCCGAAGCAGGTGGATCACCTGAGTTTAGGGGTTCGAGACCAGCCTGGCCAACAAGGCAAAACCCCATCTCCACTAAAAATACAAAAATTAGTCAGGCGTGGTGGCACATGCCTGTAGTCCCAGTTACTCAGGAGGCTGAGGCAAGAGACTCGTTTGAACCCACGAGGCGGAGGTTGCAGTGAGCTGAGATCGTGCCACTGCACTCCAGCCTGGGCAACAGAGTGAGACTCCATCTCAAAAAAAAAAAAAAAAAAAAAAATTCCTTTCTAGGTCTTTGCTCCAAAGTCATTTTTCATGGAATATATTAAACATAGCTTTTGGTTTTAAAATCTCGATAATATTTGGCTGGGCGCGGTGGCGGCTCACGCCTGTAATCCCAGCTCTTTGGGAGGCGGAGGCAGGTGGATCACCTGAGTTCAGGGGTTCGAGACCAGCCTGGCCAACATAGTGAAACCCTGTCTCTACTAAAAATACAAAAATTAGCTGGGCATGGTGGCACATGCCTATAGTCCCAGCTACTTGGGAGCCTGATGCAGGAGAATTGCTTGAACCTGGGAGGCAGAGGTTGTGGTGAGCCAAGATCATGCCACCACACTCCAGCCCGGACAACAGAGCAAGACTCCATCTGAAAAAATAATAATAATAAAAAATAAAAAATCGATAATATTGACAATAAAGATATTTTCATTGCAGGTACTTACTAAAAGCAACATTCAGTGTTCTGAACATAAGTTACTCTTCTTTTTGTGGAACTGTGGGAAAAGGGTAAAAGGCTTTTTAGGAAAACTGTATACAAAGGTTTTCACTCTGGGCCTTAATGGATGGAGATCTTACAATGTGAATCGAGAAATAATAGTGGTTAAATGTGTAACCTGTTTTATTGGTAGAGATAACACAGGCAAAATCTTTTTTGCAGGAAGAGATTTAGGACTCAGTGGTTTTTTGAGTCTCTATTTGAAAACTATTGCAGAGGAAGTATCACATTTATTAGCCTTTAGTATTAGATTTTATTAAACATTCTTTTCATTCTTTTCCATTTTTTTTTCATTTGCAGCTTTGAAATTTATTTTGTGTATTGATAATTTCAAACAATTTTTTTTTAAAGTAGTAGCTTAAGAGACTTGCTGGTTCAGACCCCAGGAAAGGTATTTATGAGCATGAAAGCTTAGAAGCAATTTCTTTTTAATGACTCACTGGGAAGATTAAACTTTGCTTCTAGGACTTGTTCTTTCTTCTGAGAAACATTTACATAGGAAATTGATTAAACATTGTTTAGAGATGATAAAGCTTATCAAAAGTTAAGTATAATTTGATTCAGCAAATATTTTTTACTGGTTTTGTGGAGAATCCAAAGATGAATAATCTCTTCTTGCCCTTTTGTTCATAGACTAAATAGAATTGCTGGAGTGGAGATAGAAATAATTAGTCTTGAAAGTAGAGAGTAATGTTTTTAAAAAATAATAATACAGTCACCCAAGAATTTGGCAGATATTTTTGGTTCTATAGAATGTAGTAGCTGTTTACTTGATGGCCTACATCGTTTCTAGTGAAAGATTAGAAATAATGTCCTACTTTAGTAAAAGTATCTCCGTAGCAGCATTCCTAGTCTGTTAGCCAGTATTATTTATATTCAAGGATCTCAAACAACAACTCTTATTAAGGATAAGTTACAGTTTTAGAAGTGCACAGTAGGTAACTTTTACCTAAAAATATCTATATAGAAGAATAAATTTATTTTTGGCTACTTTATGAAAAGGTAAACCTTTACGAGTTGGGAGGAGACCTACTGGTCAGGGTCACCATGTGAAGTGCAAATTAAAGGGAAGGTTATCTAGTACTCATTCCATACTGGGAAAAAATGAAAATAGAGGATTTTTCTGTTTTGCTTACAAAAAGAAAAGGTGAAATTCCTCATTGACACTTTAACGTCAGTGCGAACTCCCATTATAAGAAAGTGAATCCGAGTGTTGTCTCGTTATCAGGAGACGGAAGAATTGGTATTTGATTTCATTAACTCTATTAATGACAGGGGATAGTCTTCATAATGTTTACTGGGAACCCAGAGGAGAAGTAGCAGTAGTTTAGGAGCCCAGAGATTCCAAATCTCTGCTAGGATGTAGACTGTAAGTGTAACCCCTGACATCGTGATCCCACCCATTCCCTCTCTGGGTTTGGCAGATCAGTGCTTTCTGGCCCTGGGAGAAGTCCCCTCGCTGCCTTTGACCAGTGCTAGGGGCTCTAGTATGTCTTGGCTTTCCTGAAGTCCAGTCCAGTTCTACCTAAGACAATTTGTTTAAACAGAGTTTATCCCTGTATAACTTCAGAATGGACAATAACTCATTCGATTATTTTCTCTGGAAGTGGCTCAAAACATGGTTCTCACCTAAATGCGTATTACCAGATTACTCTCAGTGGTCCTGGGCAGGGCAAAGCCAGGCAAAAGCCCTGCTGCAGGAGGGTCCACAGAAGAATAAAAAGCTGACAGCCTCACAAGAACCTTTTATGCCTTCCCTCCTTTTCTTTAATCAGAATAACTGAGTTGTTTTCAAGATGCATTAGGGAAAGTGTGGCATTACAGCAGGAATAGAAGATAGTCTCTGCCCTTGAGGAACTTTAAAAGCTAGTTAAGGAGGCAAAATACAACTATTTGAAGCCTTCCTAAAGCAGTATATGTGCAAGTGCAAATTGATAGCTCAACAGAAATTTCAGTGATGGGGATACAGAGAAGTGAAATGATCTCTCCTGGTCTGTTCAGAGGCTTTCTAGAAGGAGTGAGGTATCGGATTTTAAAGAAAGTGATAAATATAAATTGAGGAGAGAAAGGAATTTCTCTTTTGTTGCTTTTGTTTTTGTTTTTGGCAATCAGCTTCCTTAGGTTGAATGGGCACAATATTGATGGTGTTATCTGGTAAATAATTAGATGCATTTACAAATGCTAATAATACTAATCTTTGATATGGACCTTCTGTTCCAAGTATAGGAAATGTGTGACAATGAGTTTTAATAGAAAGGTTTTTGATGGAAAATTACTGGCATAGACGTAAAAATATGAATTAGTGAGCTAAAATCATCCTCCTACTTTATCTCTTTTCTTAGATATCTAAATCATTTTCCTATGAATTTCTTTAATAAGTGTTTCCTATTTTTCTCCCTTTTGATTTTTAGAAGCAAATCTAATATGAGCCTATTTCAGAGACTAAATTTCGTAAGTCTCAAATGATGGGAAAAATCTAATTATTATTGAATTGCATGAAAATATTTTCCTCTTGAAATAAGAGCCCATTTTGAGCTTCAAGGACTCTTAAGTTCTAAGAGTTTAGATTAGGTTGAAATAATTTATTCTACTTTAAAAGTTTGGATTGTTTAGGTTCGCAGAACAAGATACAAGATTTTAAGTTCTTTGAGGCCAGAAACCAAGTCTTATTTGAGTTTTGCAAGGCATTTAGTACAGGTTACACCTTCACTAATAAACAGTGACTTTAATTCTCATGATATTTTAGCTTTATCAGATATTGATTGAGTTGTCTTTTAGTCACCAGGAAGGAAACCGATGTGTAAATTTGCTGCAATAAACTTTTAAAACATTATCTAAAATAACTATTTTAAGATAAATATTTTATCAGTGATTTTTATTCTTTTGTTAGAAGAATCTATGTAGAACATTTTAGGGAAAGGCCTTGGTATGTCTATTGAATGTGTTCAGCAGAGCAGAGAAACTTCCCATTCCATTGTGATAGGTTCAGAAGTCATTCAGAGGGGGGAAAAAAAAGGACAATTTTCAGTTTGTTGCTGAGGATTTTTAAAATGGCTTACAAACATGTTCCACTAACCCACTGAAATTCACTTACCCTGGGGGAAAGGAGCTATCGTTAGGTGATACCTGGGAATTGGCAATACCTGAACAGTGCTCAGGACCCCACAGGCCCCACAGAGGCTGGCACTGCCAGGTTGTGCTCTCTGTTTCAGATCGTCTGGGGTTCAAGGCTTGCTGTGAGTCCATTAAGCCATTCCTTAGCTGACCTTCGCAAGTGGCTTTAGAATCTGGAAATGAATTTGAACAATATGTATGTGTTCCTTAAATCGTTCAAAGAGAGTGTATTAGTGTTTGCTAATGGAAGATTTAAGTGAGACATTAAGGAAAAGTGGCAGACCAGGATTCTTAATGTGGAGCTCATCGTTTTGCTTCTAACTCTACGGGGTTATTGTGAGGAAGCGAGATAATGAGAAGTACCTCGCTCTGGAGTATGTGCTCCATGGCTGCTGGTGCCTGCTCCCTTTTCCTTTTACCGGTAATGTTTCTGCTTAACATTTTTGTAAAGTATGTTAATGACTTTATCAGCGTGGATAGTATGCATGTTTAACTTGAACATAGTTTTCAAAGATTAGAGATTCTAGCAAAATACTCCTGTAATTTAAAAACAGAATGAGAAAACACATACTTTGAGATAAAGTGGGAGCTTGTTTTCTGTGCTGTACAAACTTGTCACTTTTTTCTTTTTGCCTTTGGAAAGTTTCACGTTAACAGCATGAGAACTTAAAAATACAGTTGATGTTGAAAGAGCTTAACTAAATATTTTAAATTGGTGGTATTGGAAAGAGATTCTGTAAAAATCCAATTAAACTTTTGAAAGCTCTATCCTGTTGAAATATAACTTAAAGGAAGTCAGTTTGGTTTCCCAGAAGTACTGTGCATAGTGTTTCTGGCTGAGGAAGAAAGGCCCAAGTCTGCTGTTTGGCCAGAAATTGGGTACCAGTTTCCTCTACGATGTTTTACTTGAACGGTGTTGACACTTGAACAAATCCCATAGAAACTGCCCCAAGTGGGGGGATAGTTGTCCTTACTTTTATGGTAAGACTTGGCCCCAGTAACTAACATTCCAGACACTGGTAGTATTCTTGGCTGAATACTCTATAGATGTGCATAAATTGAGAGCAAAACCCCAAATGTTTTAGAAACTTTAATGGCTACCGTATTTCAAGCAATCAGTAAAGTAAACTTTAAAAAATACTGGTGCAGTTTATTGCTTCATAGCCAATAAAAATAGTGAACAAAAAGAGTCTAGTGTCCCTTGTTTCTTACATAAACTCTGAAAATTCAGTTCTGCTATTTAATTATTAAATTCAAAAGACTAGAATGATTTCTTTTAAAATTGGGAGCACTATAGGAATTTTTTTCCTTGTCTCAGACATCAGAAATAACTTTTTCTTTCCATTAAATGACAGTAAAGTATTTAACCAATATGTTTGTTTCTGTGGTTTATTTTTCACAGGGAACAAAAACTAATAGTACTGTGCAAAAATTTTTTTTGTGATCAATTTACATCTACAAATGTGATAGCTATATTTACTACTGGTGTTAAAATATTTCTATATATCAGACATTTTATGTGATTGTAAGTGACAGAACGTGATTTATACTTTGTTTTGTAAATGGCTTGAGTGTCTTAGGTTAAATTTCTGGTTAGAATCTACTATGAGGGGAGAAAAAACTTCTAGAATTGAGATGTTCATTTTTAAAGTGGATTGATAGGAACCAGAAAGGGAATTAAAACAAAAACTGTCTGGGTCAGAGGCAGAGGAGAGAAGAGAGGAAGTATGGCACAGCAATCCATACCATGGGAAATGTAGGTGAACTCTCAAGGGAAAAAAAATTGGGACCACTTTCATGTCGTCTGTTTTGGCACTTTCTTCTTTGTCTGAGAGTCAGAGTGGTTATCATGACAACAAAAATATATTAACCACAAATTGTAGAAATCTCAGTTGATGAGGACAGGGTCTTTTAAAGTTTAGACTGACTTGGTTAATCCTACAACTTCCTGAACATGATACTGCTAAATTAGGCAGAAAGGTTGTGCAGTTTCTGTTTCGTCAGAACTAAACAAGTGTTCAAAGCAACTCTGAGGTTCCTCCCTTTCAGAAGGAAACATTTTTTTAAGGGAATTTAAGAGGTGAAAAAGTATCTATATAAAACTCAGCAGTAAGCCAGTAATACTTTAATATACAAATTTATCTCACGAATTCTTATAAAAAATTCATAGAAAATTATAAAATCATAAATGTAGGAACTGCTAGTTAATGCTCACTGAAAGAACGTTTTGGCATTTATTCCTACTGGAATATATGATCTCCAGTAGGATTCTTCACAAACAGAGAATTAAGACTACATTATGAATATTTAGTGGTTTTGAAAGTTAAACAGCTGGCAAGCTTTGGGGAGCATTAGGAATAATATACATTACAGGATGGGAGGGAGGAACATACCAACTCAATACTCAAGGGAAGAGAACTGTGAAAGAATGGAATGGGTAGGTTGAACAATTTCAGACTTTTAGATGTATATTACACATGTAAGCTCCATGAGGCCAACTGTTTTTATTTTGTTAGCCATTGTATCACAAGTATTTGGGACAGTTCCTGGCCTATAATAGATGCTTGGCGAATTGTTTATGGAATGAATTTTGGGTGTAACACATGACAAAGAAAAACTAAATACAAGTCAACAAATGTCAGTTTTTACAGTTGTTTCATGGTCTTTTTTTTTTACCAATGTGAAGTTATCAGTACCAGACTATTTTGCTTCAATCTGCAAAAGGAAGGTGTGTGAAGGTGTGTGTGACTCTCAAAGAGTGAATGCCCTAATAGTCCATTTTGGAGGCCATGTTTTCAAGTGAACTGATTGATGAGCTGCAAGCTTCTGTCTGGCTAATTTAGAAACATCTAGGACCAGTTTCTGGTTAAGCAGTTGTGGTACATGAAATTCAATGTATAGGTGATTCGTGCAACAGCTTCTGAATTTTTTCCTCCCTCACCCACCTTACAGCCATTAGTCCTATAATAATTTAATTTGGGTTTGTTGGTATAGAAACTGTATTTGCACAATAATGATAAAGCCACTCAGGCTCATCTAGTCATTTCCTGGATTTATGTGTGTAGGAGTACATAAAAATAAGGGCACTGATTCGTTTTGTACTTGTCTAAAATTGTTATTCTTCAGTTGTTCAAAGGTACACAAAATGCTTTTTTCTTTATGAGGTAAAAAATACTTGGAGGTTATAAGAAATAACTCTTAACTAGCTTACTTTGAGTGGCTTTGATATGTATTTACTCATAATGGAATTCATGAGCTTTCCTTCTTTCGCTTGGCCAAGATTTTTTTTTTCTTTGAAATTCCTTCTCCGGTGTTATCTAGGATGTTTGCATTACAAGCAGGCCGCTTTACCTCCTTTGTTCGTTGTCACAGGTGAAAAGCCATACAAGTGTACCTGGGAAGGCTGCGACTGGAGGTTCGCGCGATCGGATGAGCTGACCCGCCACTACCGGAAGCACACAGGCGCCAAGCCCTTCCAGTGCGGGGTGTGCAACCGCAGCTTCTCGCGCTCTGACCACCTGGCCCTGCATATGAAGAGGCACCAGAACTGAGCACTGCCCGTGTGACCCGTTCCAGGTCCCCTGGGCTCCCTCAAATGACAGACCTAACTATTCCTGTGTAAAAACAACAAAAACAAACAAAAGCAAGAAAACCACAACTAAAACTGGAAATGTATATTTTGTATATTTGAGAAAACAGGGAATACATTGTATTAATACCAAAGTGTTTGGTCATTTTAAGAATCTGGAATGCTTGCTGTAATGTATATGGCTTTACTCAAGCAGATCTCATCTCATGACAGGCAGCCACGTCTCAACATGGGTAAGGGGTGGGGGTGGAGGGGAGTGTGTGCAGCGTTTTTACCTAGGCACCATCATTTAATGTGACAGTGTTCAGTAAACAAATCAGTTGGCAGGCACCAGAAGAAGAATGGATTGTATGTCAAGATTTTACTTGGCATTGAGTAGTTTTTTTCAATAGTAGGTAATTCCTTAGAGATACAGTATACCTGGCAATTCACAAATAGCCATTGAACAAATGTGTGGGTTTTTAAAAATTATATACATATATGAGTTGCCTATATTTGCTATTCAAAATTTTGTAAATATGCAAATCAGCTTTATAGGTTTATTACAAGTTTTTTAGGATTCTTTTGGGGAAGAGTCATAATTCTTTTGAAAATAACCATGAATACACTTACAGTTAGGATTTGTGGTAAGGTACCTCTCAACATTACCAAAATCATTTCTTTAGAGGGAAGGAATAATCATTCAAATGAACTTTAAAAAAGCAAATTTCATGCACTGATTAAAATAGGATTATTTTAAATACAAAAGGCATTTTATATGAATTATAAACTGAAGAGCTTAAAGATAGTTACAAAATACAAAAGTTCAACCTCTTACAATAAGCTAAACGCAATGTCATTTTTAAAAAGAAGGACTTAGGGTGTCGTTTTCACATATGACAATGTTGCATTTATGATGCAGTTTCAAGTACCAAAACGTTGAATTGATGATGCAGTTTTCATATATCGAGATGTTCGCTCGTGCAGTACTGTTGGTTAAATGACAATTTATGTGGATTTTGCATGTAATACACAGTGAGACACAGTAATTTTATCTAAATTACAGTGCAGTTTAGTTAATCTATTAATACTGACTCAGTGTCTGCCTTTAAATATAAATGATATGTTGAAAACTTAAGGAAGCAAATGCTACATATATGCAATATAAAATAGTAATGTGATGCTGATGCTGTTAACCAAAGGGCAGAATAAATAAGCAAAATGCCAAAAGGGGTCTTAATTGAAATGAAAATTTAATTTTGTTTTTAAAATATTGTTTATCTTTATTTATTTTGTGGTAATATAGTAAGTTTTTTTAGAAGACAATTTTCATAACTTGATAAATTATAGTTTTGTTTGTTAGAAAAGTTGCTCTTAAAAGATGTAAATAGATGACAAACGATGTAAATAATTTTGTAAGAGGCTTCAAAATGTTTATACGTGGAAACACACCTACATGAAAAGCAGAAATCGGTTGCTGTTTTGCTTCTTTTTCCCTCTTATTTTTGTATTGTGGTCATTTCCTATGCAAATAATGGAGCAAACAGCTGTATAGTTGTAGAATTTTTTGAGAGAATGAGATGTTTATATATTAACGACAATTTTTTTTTTGGAAAATAAAAAGTGCCTAAAAGATGTATGTGGTGCTTTTCTTCTTTACCTGCAATAAAGAGTCTGATCAGGGCGGTTAGTGAGAAATCAATTCCACACATTTGTAGAGGAGCCACATTGAACCCGTACCTACATAAGACGGGGATTTATTTTTTGAGACGGAGTCTCGCTCTGTCACCCAGGCTGGAGTGCAGTGGCGCAATATCGGCTCACTGCAACCTCTGCCTCCCAGGTTCAAGTGATTATCCTGTCTCAGCATCCCGAGTGGTTGAGATTACGGGCGCACGTCACCACGCCTGGCTAATTTTTGTATTTTTAGTAGAGGTGGGCTTTCACCATATTGGCCAGGCTGGTCTTGTGAACTGACCTCGTGATCCACCCACCTCAGCCTCCCAAAGTGCTAGGATTACAGGCGTGAGCCACTGCGCCCAGCTGGGGGATTTATTTTTTAAATTAGCATAAAGGGAGTCATAATTCACGAATACTTATCTGGCCACGTAATGCACGAGACCTTAAGCATCCTTAGTTGAAAACACCATAGAGAGTTAACTTGCATGTGCTAGTCTGGAGGCTGTGTCATCAGAGGCAAACAAGAAGAATTGGTGTAACACTTAAAAAAATCATTAGGATTTGGTTTTATTCCGCAGCAACAAGTACACCTAGAACCTACATCTTGTGTTTTTTTTTTTTTTGACACTATCACACAGGCTGGAGTGCAGTGGCGTAATCGTGGCTCACAGCAACCTCTGCCTTGGGTTCAAGGGATTGTCCTGCTTCAGCCTTCTGAGTAGCTGGGATTACAGGCACGTGCCACCATGCCCGGCTAATTTTTGTGTTTTTTGTAGTGATGGGATTTCACCATGTTGGCCAGGCTGGTCTCAAACTCCTGGCTTCAAGTGATCCACCAGCCTTGGTCTCCCAAAGCACTGGGATTACAGGCGTGAGCCACTGCGCCAGGCCTAGGTTTTGTTTTTATTTGTTTATTATTATTATTTTTAATTATGCTTTAAGTTCTGGGGTACATGTGCAGAATGTGCAGGTTTGTTACATAGGTATACACGTGCTGTGGTGGTTTGCTGCACCCATCAACCCGTCATCTACATTAGGTATTTCTTCTAATGCTACCCGTCCTCTAGCCCCCAACCCCATGACAGGCCCCAGTGTGTGATGTTCCCCTCCCTATCTCCATGTGTTCTCATTGTTCAATTCCCACTTACGAGTGAGAACATGCGGTGTTTGGTTTTCTGTTCTTGTGTTAGTTTGCTGAGAATGACGGTTTCCTAGATCTTGGTTTCTAATACCATTGTCCAATTTTTAAAAAATGAGCTCCTTAGAGAAACAGCTGATTCTAAGATTGGAGTGGGAAACATGCAAGTCCGGAGCATCCTGTAGTGTGAGAAAGTGGTATATCAGAAGGAATATAGGAAGCGATGAAAAAACCCGGCCGGGCGCGGTGGCTCATGCCTGTAATCCCAGCACTTTGGGAGGCTGAGGCGGGCAGATCACCTGAGGTCAGGAGTTCAAGACTAGCCTGGCCAACATGGTGAAACCCCGTCTCTACTAAAAATACAAAAAGTAGCCGGGCGTGGTGGCAGGTGTCTGTAATCCCAGCTACTCGGGAGGCTGAGGCAGGAGAATCGCTTGAACCCAGGAGGCAGAGGTTGCAGTGAGCCAAGATTGTGCCATTGCACTCCAGCCTGGGGGACAAGAGTGAGACTTCCTGTCAAAAAAAAAAAAAGAACCCTACAATAATCGGGGTATGTCAGCAACAAAGTAAAGCAGGATTGCATTATAATACAGTATAAACTATCCCTTTGTCTGTACTGATATAAATGGTTGCATAAACAGAAGAGAGAGATCTGTGCCGAATGACTCCAAGTAAGTTTTTTAGATACCTCACCCTCAAAGAGTGGAAGAAAACTGTCTACTCTTCAGTGTGGGCTACATATAGTGACTTCCTTCCAAAGATTACCTTGTGGAAAGGAGGAGAGGAGGAAGAGTAGCTTTACAGTGGGTAAGTCTGCCCTCACCACCTCAACCAGTTGATCAAGGTCCACCTCAGCAGTGATAAGTCACGCTGATAGTGTGTACCCTTGATATGATGTGATGAAAATGGAACTTTGCTTCTCCTTCTGAAAACATGTACCCCAGCGTGATCATGAGAAACACATCAGACAAACTGCAATTGAGGGATATTCTACAAAATACCTGATAAGTATTCCTCAAACTATCAGGCCATCAAACACAAAGTCTGACAGATTGTCAAAGTCAAGAGACATGACGATACAATGTCATGTGGCATGTGGATGGGATTCTAGCACAGAAGGAGGGCACTGGGGGAGAATGGAGGAAATTTGAATAAAGTATAGAATTTCACTAATGTATCTTTTTTTTTTTTTTTTTTGAGATGGAGTCTCGCTCTGTAGCCCAGGCTGGAATGCAGTGGCGTGATCTTGGCTCACTGCAACCTCTGCCTCCTGGGTTCAAGTGATACTTTCACCTCAGCACCTCCCTGCCTGCCCGTCGAAGTAGCTGGGATTACAAGTGTGTGCCACCCGGCTAATTTTTGTATTTATTTATTTTTTTTTTGAGATGGAGTCTCGCTCTGTCGCCCAGGCTGGAGTGCAGTGGCGCGATCTTGGCTCACTGCAAGCTCCGCCTCCTGGGTTCACGCCATTCTCCTGCCTCAGCCTCCCGAGTAGCTGGAACTACAGGTGCCCGCCACCACAGCTAGCTAATTTTTGTATTTTTAGTAGAGACGGGGTTTCACCGTGTTAGCCAGGATGGTCTCGATCTCATGACCTCATGATCTGCCCGCCTCAGCCTCCCAAAGTACTGGGATTACAGGAGTGAGCTACTGCGCCCGGCAAGTTTTGTATTTTTTGTAGAGACAGGGTTTTATACCATGTTGGCCAGGCTGGTCTCAAACTCCTGACCTCAAGTGATCTACCCACCTTCCCCTCCTAAAATCCTGGGATTATAGGTGTGAGCCACCATGCCCTTTTCGGCTGTAATGTGTCCATATTAATTCATTGATTGTGACAAATGTATCATACTAATGTAAGCTGTTAATATCATACTAATGTAAGCTGTTTCCCCCTGGGAAACTGGGAATGGGGTTAGAGGAATTCTATTATCTGCAATACTTCAGTAAATCTACAACTACTAAAAGAAAAGCGTTAGTTTAAAAAAAGTGAAGAAAAGCCAGGCATGGTGGCTCATGCCTGTATTCCCAGCACTTTGGGAGGCTGAGGCAAGTGGATTACCTGAGGTCGGAGTTCGAGACCAGCCTGGCCAACATGACAAAACCCTATCTCTACTAAAAATACAAAAATTAGCTGGGCATGGTGGCATGCACCTGTAATCCCAGCTACTTGGGAGGCTGAGGCAGGAGAATCACTTGAACCTGGGAGGTGGAGGTTGCAGTGAGCCGAGATCGCACCACTGCACTCCAAAAAAGTGAAGAAAAATCAGTATCACTATTACATATTCCCACAATAAATGGTATGGGGGAGGGATCCCCAATGTTCTCAGATCTGAAGTAAAAAACTGCAGTTATGTATTTTGGCAACATGTTTATTTAGCCTCATTATTTGACTCCTCACTCTTCCTAATCATTGGAGTAATATCTAGCTCAAGAATATTACACACTTCATTCCTTTGCCACAGCTTTTTCCCTCCCTCCCTCCCTCCCTTCCTCGCTTTCTTCCTTCCTTCCTTCCCTCTTTCCTCCCTTTGTCTTTTCTTTCTTTTCTTCTCTTTTATTTCTTTTTCTTTTTGAGACAGGGTCTTGCTCTGTCACCCAGGCTGGAGTGCATGGCATGACCGTGGCTCACTCCAGCCTTGACCTCCCAGGTTCAAGCAATCCGGCCATCTAAGTCTCCCAAGTACCTGGGACTACAGGTGTGAGTCATCATGCCTGGCTAATTTTGTGTGTGTCTGAAGACGGGAGCCTCCCTGTGTTGCCCAGGCTGGTCTTGAACTCCTGGGATCAAGGGATCCCTCCACCTTGACTTCCCAACTTGTGATTACAGGCGTGAGCTACTGTGTCCACCCCTGCCCTGAAACTTCTTAGATTCTTTTTGTGATTCAGCTCTAATTGATTGATAAGGAGATGTCAAAAAATTACCTCCTATTTCTGTGTGAATTGACTTAAGCCACTGCAGCAATTGAATACATCTAATGTTTGCCAAATTTCCTCTTCATGTTGCACTGTTGATACAGTGTTGGTGTTGGATTTTTGATAAGGTATGTGAACATGAAACTGTGATTATAATGCAAGCAAACATGTAATACCTTGTGTATTTTTAAACAGTATTAGTGAGTTTTCAAGGGAAAATGATTTTCAAAAGGCAACTATGCCTAACCAACTTTTCAAAGTTGCAAATAATTTAATTGCTTATCATTGTTATGCTCATTTAATGACTATCTGGGTTCAAACATATTCTGACTGTTTATCTGTAAACGAGCTACAGCAATTAGACAAAAATTGAGCAATATACCAGGTTCCAAGTGCAATTATGTGACTTGATTTCAAATAAGTAATGTTTTGGGGTTAACTATCTTCAGTTAATTTTTATTCTCCCCACTACTAAGTTATCTTGTTCTACTTCATGTTGTCATTTCATTCTTATATTGCAGCTCACATTAAGCATGTCACTTCATGGCATCCAATTAGAGAATCCTTAGATAAACATGACCTGGCCTGCCTACATAAAAATATTTTTAAAAATCTAGCTAAATTCCTTTTCCTATCTGTAATTAAGCCCACCAGAACTTTTTGGATTAACTCGTGGGCTGTAATGTAACAAAGAAGGGCTTTATTCTCTATTACTAAATCTGGTCCCTACTTTGAAGTTAACCAAATTCCATCTTTGGTTAGATTCTTGACTACAGTGTGAAACTAATCAATGGGAGACTTTTTTAAAAATTACTCATACTGAAGTTATAGGTGACAAAACCTGGAAATTTGTAACTGTTTTAACAGTGACTATTAAGACAAAAAATATGGTGGCTCATGCCTGTAATCCCAGCACTTTGGGAAGTCAAGGCAGGAGGACTGCTTGGGCCCAGGAGACCCTGTCTCTATAAAAACTAAAAAAATTAGGTTGGTGCGTGCCTCGTGCTTGTTGACTCAGCTACCTGGAGACTGAGTGGGAGGATCGTTTGAGCCCAGGAGGCTGAGATTGCAGGGAGCTGTATTCACACCACTGCACTCCAGCCTGAGCAACAGAATGAGACCTCGTCTCAAAAAAATAAAAAGAAGAAAAGCACAATAAATCCCATAAAAGCTATATACGATTGGAAGAGTTTGTTACATGAAAACTCAGAAGTTTCATTTTTGTTTGTAAATCAGCAATCTTTATTCCATCTGACCCTCTCAGTGCATGTCACCCCATGAAGGCATTTGGTGTCATATAAATGGTAATATTCTTAAATATGAAGGTTAAAGCTTAATGCTATTTGGTACCCAAAGACATTTGAATGACTATATATACATATATATATATGTATATATGTATATGTATATATCCACTCACATAATCTTGCCAATTGGAACTTGGCGTACTGCCCAATTTTTGTCTAATCGCTATAGTTTGTTTACAAAGAAACAGTAGGAGTAGATAGATATTGAATAGAAACTCGCATAGACTTCTAGGTAAAGATCTAGCCTTCAGAACTATTCAACAGCTTCTTTGATGAAGGAAACAACCCCCAAATCACTTCGTTTCAACCAGCAAGATCTTGCCCAGGACAAAATTGGATGAATAAAGATGACAGTGTCCAAACTCCTGAGTACTGTCCCAGGAACCTCCAAAGACATGCCATGGAGTCAAGTGGTGGCACCTCTTCCTATCTAAAGTTTCAAGAGATCTTCACCTATTTTAAGCATCTAATGCAGTATTTCTCTCAGATGAATTCCTCGGACACACCTGTAGGAAAAGGGCCCTATGGTTAAACAAGGACCTGCCAAATCTAGAAGATTCACAACACATGCTGGAATAATAAAGTCTCTGAGGTGTTCTGCAATAAATAAATTTAAACAAAAAAAAAACCAAAAGACTGTTAACAGTTTGTCTAAGTTGTTCATTCCTTAGTTCCCCACTTCTCTTCGAACCCCAACAAAAACACACTTTGGATAGGGAATAATCAGTCCCCACCCAGTGGAAAAGTGAGGATTTATAGGCTTATTTTCTGGAGAGGGGAAAGATACAGTATTTCTAAACAGAGTAAACAAGCCCCAGTTTCTAGTACGGTGGCTCATGCCTGTAATTCCAGCACTTTGGGAGGCCAAGTCAGGAGGATCACATGAGGCCAGGTGTTCAAGACCAGCCTGGCCAACATGATGAAACCCCGTCTCTACTAAAAATACAAAAATTAGCCAGGCGTGGTGGCAGGCGCCTGCGGTCCCAGCTATTCAGGAGGCTGAGGCAGGAGAAATCGCTTGAACCTGGGAGGTGTGGAGGTTGCAGCGAGCCGAGATTGCGCCACTGCACTCCAGCCTAGGCAACAGAGTGAGACTCCGCCTCCAAAAAAAAAAAAAAAAAAACAAGCCCCAGTTGAGGGCAGGAATGCCAAACAGAAAATTAGGAGGATTAAATGAATGTATGCATATTGGAGGCTAAGCTTTTTTATGCAAAAGAATGTTTTATGTACTCATTAACATAGTAATTAATGTAAATTACATTCTGATAATGTAAAATACAGTGTATTTGTTAGGCCTCAAAAAAGAAACTATAGCATTAGTGCAATTTAAGATAACTGGTAAGGCTCTTTAAATTGTTTAGGAGGCTGAGATTTTTTCTCTTCTTCCCTTGGTTCCCAGAGTGCTGGAGACCAAGTCTTTATCAAGGTAGGAGGCTGAAAGAGTCTTTGGAATGGACCAGTCCAAGAGAAATAACTAAATATATGGAAAATCCCAAGTTCTCCAATAAAATGGCCCAGCCAGATCATTCACAGAGAAACCCACAGATGACTAGACCCACACATGTGTCCAGCGCTTCCAATCAACTCTTTGGTCCTTCACTATTAAATATTAACAGATGGCAGGCCACAGTGGCTCACACCTGTAATCCCAGAACTTTGGGAGGCTGAGGTGGGTGGATCACCTGAGGTCAGGAGTTCGAGACCAGCCTGGCCAACATGGTGAAACCTTGTCTCTACTAAAAATACAAAAATTAGCTGGGCGTGGTGGTGGGCGCATGTAATCCCAGGTACTCCGGAGGCTGAGGCAGGAGAATCGCTTGAACCTGGGAGGCAGAGGTTGCAGTGAGCCGAGATCGTGCCATTGCACTCCAGCTTGGGCAACAAGAGTGAAACTCCATCTCACAAATAAATAAATAAATAAAAATAAAAATAAATATTAACAGACAACTAAGAAATAACAGATATCTGAACAAAACATTTAACATGAAAGATAGAGATAAAACAGAGGGCTGGGTGCGGTGGCTCACGCCTATAATCCCAGCACTTTGGGAGGCCGAGGCGGGCAGATCACAAGGTCAGGAGTTTGAGACCAGCCTGACCAACATGGTGAAACCTTGTCTCTAGTAAAAATACAAAAATTAGCCAGCTGTGGTGGCGGGCGCCTGTAATCCCAGCTACTCGGGGGTCTGAGGCAGAAGAATCGCTTCAACTCAGGAGGTGGAGGTGGGCCAAGATCTCACCACTGCCCTCCAGCCTGGGTGACAGAGTGAGACTCTGTCTCAAAAAAAAAAAAAAAAAGATTAAAAAAAAAAAAAGAAAAGAAAAAAGAAATAAAAGCACGGGAAAGAATCATTTGTCTCTGTGTTTCTGTATTTTCCACACTGGACTTGGCACACAGTAAATGTTCAGTAAGTACATGTTGACTAAATAAAGGGATCTGTAAAAACAGCTCATAATCTTAGGTACCTCAGCAAATTAGGGTCATCTGAGTGAAAAAATGTAAACACTGTTCATGAATTCTCACCAGAAGCTATTGAAAATCTATTGTTCTGTGTTGCAGTTGGAAATGCCTTAAAATCAATATGAGAGCATTTTAAAGTTTGGATATAAATAAATTGAAAAATGTTTTTGACAATACTGCTTTGCTGAATAATGGTTACACTAGGATCTATATAATAGGATTCAAGGCCACCTCTGAAATCTTCTGGACCTAAATGAACACACCTTGCTAAGTACATCAGTTTCTTATGTGCGTGAAAGGAATGAAGACTTAAAAAAGAAATAAAGTGATTTTTTTCCTCTTTGACCCTAAAATGAGCAAAGTTAATCATATATTTTGTGTGTTTACATAGAATATTTTATCTAAGAAGTCACAACTCTGAAACAAAATGGAATGATTAATTGGCCCTCATATCATTGTGTATTAGATTAGTATCTTATCCCTGTGTCTACCTGAGGAGACATCTACGTGAAAGCACTAAATGAAAAAAGATGGTAAGTACAGCAAATTTTCTTTTTCTTTTCTTTTTTTTTTTTGAGACAGAGTCTCACTCTGTTACCAAAATGGAGTGCAGTGGCATGATCTCGGCTCACTGCAACCTCTGACTCCCGGGTTCCAGTGATTCTCCTGCCTCAGCCTCCCAAGTAGCTGGGACTACAGGTGCCCACCACCACACCCAGTTAATTTTTTGTATTTTTAGTAGAGATGGGGCTTCACCATGTTGGCCAGGATGGTCTCCATCTCTTGACCTCATAATCAGCCTGCCTCGGCCTCCCAAAGTGTTGGGATTACAGGTGTGAGCCACCATGCCTGCCCAGTTTCTGTGTGGATATAGAAACTGTGTGGTCAAGGATATAGAGCTTTACTTTTTTTTGAGACAGAGTCTCACTCTTGCCGTCCAGGCTGGAGTGCAATAGCGTGATCTTGGTTCACTGCAAACTTCACCTCCAGGGTTCAAGTGATTCTCCTGCCTTAGGCTTCCGAGTAGCTGGGATTACAGGTGCACGCCACCATGCCCAGCTAATTTTTGTATTTTTAGTAGAGACGGAGTTTCACCGTGTTGGCCAGGCTGCTCTCAAACTCCCAATCTCAGGTGATCCGCCTGCCTCGGCCTCCCAAAGTGCTAGGATTACAGGCATGAGCCACCCCATCTGGACAGAATTTCTTTATTTCTCCAGAGAAAAGGGTTTTCCTTCCCCATCTCTTAAAAATGACACAAAACCAGAAACAAAAAAACTAAAACAAGCGCAATAATTCCCCCCCAAACACAAAAGGCTTTGGGAGTGTACATTTTGTTGAAAATGTCACTGATTCCTCTTTGACTATTAATTTTTCTTGGGTTCCGGATTCACCTGGACTTACATGACTTCAAGTGAATTGTGGAGCTTTTGTTCACCTGTGGGTAAAAACCCAGGTGATAGAGCCAGAGTGAGTGATGGGGCTCCTTTTTCTGCCTCACCTTATGCAGGGCTTGTAAGAGGTGGCGGAGAAGCAAAGCTTTTATAGAACTGCAGTACCAAATTACACTTGTCATCACTGTAATAGGAGCTTGCGAAGATAGTTATCTTCCCAGCCTGTTTCTCCAGAACATTTCATACATTTTACACGAACATAAATAAGAATTTTAATTGAGTACTTTTATAATTGTAGCATTCTATACTCCAGATGTCTTGAATGCTGTCTTGGTTGTCATAAAAATGTCCACCAAATGAGTAGATTGTTATAAAAATGGGAAGGGCCAATAGACCATCAAAGACTCTCCCCGTAAGGCTTACCTATCAGAATGTGAGGTATTTCTTTGTTGAAAGATGTGTTTAGTTTCCTGCCTTGAAAACGTGATTGTTATGACATTACTGACAATGCAAATGTTTTGACCAAAAGCGAAACAAATGAAGAGATTTTATGTTTTGTTTTGTTTTTCTTTTTTCAACTACGTATAATCCTGGAATGGCATCAGATAAACAAGGTCTAAAAGACTGAAAATTAAAAATAATAAAAGCAGAGCCAGTTACTTGGGGGTAATAAGAAGGAACTAAATATTGTGATAGATAGATACAAAGTACTTAGATCTTCCAGGCATTTTACTAAGAATATTTTCCTTTAAGAAAATTAGAGATATTTTATGAATGTTACTTTTTTGAGCTAATTTATTTAAACTTTTTATGAGTGTTTAAAGAAAAAATGATAACATTGTCTGTGGGGGTTCTAATAGATGTAATACATTTGACAACCATAGCAAAAAAGCAGAGAGATGGTGAATGGACTTGTATGTTTCGAAGGTTTCCAGATTTTACATGAAGTAGTTCGGTATTAACTTTACATTGTGAAAAGTTAAATAAAAGGTAAACTTTCTGTAAAGTTATAGGCTGGATGCAGTGGCTCACACCTGTAATCCCAGCACTTTGGGAGGTCAAGGCAGGAGGGTTGCTTGAGTCCAGGAGTCCGAGACCAGCCTGGGCAACATAGACCTCATTTCTACAAAAAATAAGAAAATTAGCTGGGCATGGTGGCATGAGCCTGTAGTCCCAGCTACTCAGGATGCTGGGGTGGCAGGATCCATTGAGCCCAGAGGTGGAGGTTGCAGTGAGACGTGACCACACCACTACACTCCAGCTTGGGTGACAGAGTGACTTTGTCTTAAAAAAATATATATTTAAAAAAATATATATATACACATATATATACACATATATATACACATATATATACATATATATACACATATATATACACATATATATACACATATATATACACATATATATACATATATATATACACATATATATACACATATATATACATATATATACACATATATACATATATATTTTTATAGTAATCTCCAAGAAAACAGTAAAAAAATACAATGAGACATAACTAAAAAGCAGATAGATAAAATAGAATTTTAAAGAAATATTCAAATACTTAGAAAGCAGGGAAGTAAGAAGAGAGATACAAAACATCAGTGGGAAAAAAGAGAAAAAAATAGTAAAATGGTTAACCTAAATCCTACCATATCAATTGTTACACTAAACGTGAATGGACTAAAAAAAGTAGACTTTTGGCTGGGTGTGGTGGCTCACACCTGCAATCCTGGCACTTAGGGAGGCCACAGCAGGAGGATCCCTTGAGCTCAAGGGTTCAAGACCAGCCTAGGCAACATAGGGAGACCCTGTCTCTACAAAAAAGTAAAAAAATTAGCCCAGTATTGTAGGACACGCCTGTAGTCCCAGCTACTGGGGGTGCTGAGGTGGGAGGATTGCTTGAGCCCTGGAAGTTGAGCCTTCAGTGAGCCGTGATGGTACCACTGTATGCCAGCCTGGGTCACAGAGCAAGACCATGTCTCAAAAAAAAGGTAGACTTTTTTTTCTGTTAAGCGTTAAAGGCCTAAGTTCATTTTTGGAGGTGCCTGTTTGTTATTTTTAGGGGAAAAAACCTTCCCTGGATGGCACATTTAATTACACAGATGTAAAGCAAGGATCTACACATTTTTCTGGAGGTAAGTTTCGTATGTAGCCATTACTGATAATCTGACTCTGGCCCAGTGGAAACTGGACCTTGGCAAGTGGCTTATTCCCTGAGTAGATGTGTGTGGCCCAGTAACTGGGAAGATCTGAAGCAACAAAGAGCTGGAACACTCAGGGGCCTGCATCCTTGTCTCAGGTCTTCCTGGATTGAGTGTTAGCTAAGAGGAAAGTGATACTGTCTTTCTTTTTGAAAAAATCAACAATTTGTTTTCCATAACTATATGTCATTTTTATTTTTTTCTTTTTCTCTTTTTTAATAATAGAGATGAGGGTCTCACTAGCCCAGGCTGGTCTCAAACTCCTTGGCTCAAGCAATCCTCCCACCTTGCCCTTCCAAAGTGCTGAGATTACAAGGCATGAGCCGTGGTGCCTGGCCACTGTACCTCTATAATTACTTTGAGAGGTGTAGCCATCATAGCATGGCTATAGACACCATTAATCAAAGATGACACAATAATGACACAATAAACAGTGACCAAGAGAAGAACTGTCGTAATAAACAGCAAGGGGCTGTTTTGGGGGAAAGTGGTAGTCAAATGAATTTGGGGTCACTAGTCAGGTGACTAGATGTAATCTTGTAAGGTTGGTGGTCACAGGGTGCTGAAACGCAGGCAGTTTTTCCTGACATAACTAACATACGATTTGCCAGGGTACTGTGTCAGGCCCTTGAGCCCTTTAACACACATGACTTCCCTTACTATAATCCTATAATTCACTTCTTACTGTAGCAAATTTATAGATGAGAACAATAACGCCCAGGAAGGTTAAGGAACTCATTTTCCTCATGGAAACACAGCCAGTAAGAGACAGAGCAGGCTGTTCTGATTTGAACTCATTGACTCTTTTTTTGTTTTTTGAGTCGGAGTCTCATTCTGTCACCCAGGCTGGAGTGCAGTGGCACCATCGCAGCTCACTGCAGCCTCTGCCCCCCTGGTTCAAGCGATTCTCCTCCCTCAGCCTCCCGAGTAGCTGGGACTACAGGTGTGCGCCACCATGCCCAGCTAACTTTTGTATTTTTAGTAGAGATGGGGTTTCACCATGTTGGCCAGGCTGGTCTTGAACTCCCGACTTCAGGTGATCTGCCCACCTCAGCCTCCCAAAGTGTTGGGATAACAGGCGTGAGCCACCAAGCCCGGCCCTCATTGACTCTTTCTACAGTAGCATACCTGTTTCAAGAGGCATGCTCTATATAGGGAAGCCCATCAGAATCCGGGAATTAAGGAAACAAGACATGAAGGGAACTCTCAGCTCATCTAGAGGGCTCCCCAGGCTCCCTTTAGGGCGGGAGTCTGTTCCAAGGTGCAGCCAGCCTGAGCCTGCCAAGAGTAGCAGGTGAGCCCTGTTAAGACCATGGTAAGTGGATTCACCTGCCCAGAGAGAGATGCGCCGATCTTGACTGTCTCTTGAGGGATAGTGGAGGATCAGAGCTGCCAAGATAAAACCCTGGAGCTTGGGAGGATTTCAAGCAAGTGCTTTGTCCACTCGAAAAAGCCTTCATCCAAGCCAAATAAGACAAGTGACTGTGAGAAGGTAATAAGTACATTTCTGGTGATTATACCTACAGAGAGGCAGGAATAAAGGGAGAGAACAATGCTTCCAGGCCTTTGATCTTTACCTGCCACAGGCCTCTCCTCCCCTTCTAGCCGACTTCCTGAGGCAGGAAATGGTGACATCACCCTGCGTTTGTCAGCACTCTCCTGTTCTGAGTCATCAGGATTGCTGGCATAGTGATCCATAAGATTTCCAAGTAGATTATTTACTCCCCTTTTAGGGGCTTGGTATTGCACCTTCCCTCAGTGTACTGTCAGACCTCTCTTCAGTTAGAGATTTCCTCCTTGGGATGTCATTCGGTGTCCTCATAGGTAGTATCTTCTAACTTTTATTAGCATTATCCTTTATTAACCAACTCTAAGTTGGGGGTGGGAGGTCATAAAAATACCCAGTTGAATGAATTACAGTTAATTTTAACCATTCCTCCATTGTTGGACATGAATCCAGTTTCCAGTTATTTGCTGTTACAGACAATGTCAAAGGAAACATCTTTTTCCACAATGTGTGCATGTGTTTTTTTTTTTTGAAATGGGCTTTCGTTCTGTCCCTCAGGCTGGAGTGCAGTGGTGTGATCATGGTTCACTGCAGCCTCAAAATCCTAGACTCAAGTGATCCTCCTACCTCAGCCTCCTGAGTAGCTAGGACTACAGGTGCACACCACAGTGCCTGACTAATTTTTGCATTTTTGTACAGACAGGGTTTTGCCATGTTGCCCAGGCTGGTCTTGAACTCCTGGGCTCAAGTGATCCACCCACCTCAGCCTCCCAAAGTGCTGGGATTATAGGTGTGAGCCACTGCAGCCTGGCCTGTGTTTGAGTATTTCTGTAGGATAGATCGCTAAATGAGGAACCAGGGATCAAGGTATTTAAACATTCATGTTTTTAAATTTATCATATTTAAAACCTTTTTTATGGGTTGAGCATGGTGACTCACACCTGTAATCCCAGCACTTTGAGAGGCCGAGGCAGATCCCTTCAGCCCAGGAGTTGGAGACCACCCTGGGCCACATGGCGAAACCCTGTCTCTACAAAAATACAGAAAGTAGCCAGGTGTGGTGACTTGGTGCCTGTAAATCCCAGCTACTGGGGAGGCTAAGGTGGGAGGATCACTTGAGCCCAGGAGGCAGAGGTTGCAGTGAGTTGAGATCACGACACTACACTCCAGCCTGGGTGACAGAATGAGACTCTGTCTCAAAAAACAAAACAACAACAAAAACCAAACCTCTTTATTATGGAAGTTTGCAACAAATATAAAAATAGAAAAGTATAATGAATACTCACCCTCTTTACCCAGCTTTTACAATGATCAACTCTCAGCCAACTTTAATCTACCTGTACTCTCAACTCTTCCCTGTCTTCCCTCCCCTAGATTATTTGAAAGCAAACCTCAGACACCATATAATTTCATTTGTAAATATTTTAGTATGTAGGCCAGGTGCAGTGGCTCACGCCTATAATCCCAGCACTTTGGGAGGCCAAGGAGGGCGGGTCATTTGAGGTCAGGAGTTCAAAACCAGCTTGGCCAACATGGTGAAACCCCATCTCTACTAAAAATACAAAAATAAGCCAGGAGTGGTGGTGGGCGCTTGTAATCCCAGCTTCTCAGGAGCTGAGGCAGGAGAATTGCTTGAACCCGGGAGGTGGAGGTTGCGGTGAGCAGATATCGTACCATTGCACTCCAACCAGGGTGACAGAGTGAGACTCCATCTCGGAAAAAAAAAAAAAAAAAGAAAAGAATATATACATTTTAGTATGTACCACTTAAAGATGACTGCAGCCTCAAACTCCTGGGCACAAGGGATCCTCCTGCCTTAGCCTCCTGAGTGGCTAGAATTACAGCCATGTGCCACCATGCCCAGCTAATAGTTTTTAAATATCATCCAAATATGGATGATATATTTTAGCCAGGCATGGTGGCTAATGCCTGTAATCCCAGAACATTGGGAGCTGAGGCGGGTGGATCACTTGAGGTCAGGAGTTTGAGACCAGCCTGGCCAACATGGTGAGACCCTGTCTCTACTAAAAATACAAAAAAATTAGCCAGGCGTGGTGGTGTGTGCCTGTAATCCCAGCTACTTGGGAGGGTGAGGCTGGAGAATTGCTTGAACCTGGGAGGCGGAGTTTGCGGTGAGCCGAGATCTCGCCATTGCACTCCAGCCTGGGCAACAAGAGCGAAACCCCGTCTCTAAAATAAATAAATAAATAAATAAATAATAAAAAAAAGGTCATTTTAAATCTGAATAGGTTCTCAAAATTGTTCTTAAAAAAAAGTACTAACTTATCCTTCCACCCACAGTGCTGCTCTTGGGAGCAGAATTCTGAAGAGAAAGGCAAAATTCAAGGGAAAGAGTTTGCCTTTAAGTTTTAACATAGCCTATGTTAGGCTATGTTAAAACTTAAAGAAGGAAGACCAATAAATAGCACTATAGCAAGAGGAGAAACTAAACCTACCAATGGTCTGTGAGCTCTCATACATTTAACCCTCCTAAAGTACAGTCTTGAATAACAGACAACATCAAAGGGCAGCTGTGCTTTTCTCAGAATAAAACAGCTGAGCTAAACAACCAAAACCAAACAGCTGTACTGCCTTTGGATTTAGTGTTGCATTAAAATTAGATGTTTTCTTTCCCCAGCCTTTTTTTTTTTCTTGGTGGAAGAAGCAATTGAAGAGTTTTATTTCAGACATAAATGTTATGTTCAAATCATTTGCACACAGCCCACAGTAAAATGTTAGTTATTACGGAAATCTGACTGATGGCATTGTCACTTATAAGGAGAGACCCTCTCAATTGTTTTCATTATTCAATACTACTTAATTATTTAGAATTTGCCTGTGTACAGTGAACGTCATTGATGTTGTAGATGCGAAAGTTAATTAAAACACCTTAAACTTGATTTTTATTTTATTTATTTTATTTTATTATTATTTTTTAGACGAGTTTTACTCTTGTTGCCCAGGCTAGAGTGTAATGGTGCAATCTCTGCTCACTGCAACCTCTGCCTCCCGGGTTCAAGCGACTCTCCTGCCTCAGCCTCCTGAGTAGCTAAGATTACAGGCGCACACCACCGCGCCCGGCTAGTTTTTGTAGTTTTAGTAGAGACGGGGTTTCTCCATGTTGGTCAGGCTGGTCTCGAACTCCCGACATCAAGTGATTCGTCTGCCTCGGCCTCCCAAAGTGCTGGGATTACAGGCATGAGCCACTGCATCTGGCCACAAGTTTAATTTTTTCAGTTTTTTTTACTTGTTTCATTTTGTTCTGTACTGGGTAGCAAGGGAACGTTTTTGAACAAGGACAATTAATGTTGGATTACTATGTTAGGTTTACAGGAAGGGCCAGAGTCAGGGAAACCAGGAGCCTATTGAAAAACGTGAGAGAGCTGGGTGTGGTGAGAGGCCCAGGCTGGTTGGCTGATCCCTTGGCATTTTGGGAGGCCCAAGCTGGCGGATCCCTTGAGATCGACTGGAGCAACAAGAGGAAACCATCTCCACCAAAAGGAAAAAAAATAAAAGGGGGAAAGGTGATAAAGACATGAATTGGGCCGGGCGACGTGGCTCACGTCTGTAATCCCAGCACTTTGGGAGGCTGAGGTGGGTGGATCCTGAGGTCAGGAGTTCAAGACCTGCCTGACCAACATGGTGAAACCCCGTCTCTGCTAAAAATACAAAAAAAAAAAAAAAAAAAAAAAAAGCTGGGCGTGGTGGTGGGCACCTGTAATCCCAGCTACCTAGGAGGCTGAGGCAGGAGAATAGTTTGAACCCGGGAGGTGGAGGTTGCAGTGAGCTGAGATTGCACCACTGTATCCAGCCTGGGCAACAGAGCGAGACTCCATCTCAAAAAAGAAAAAAAGACATGAATTGACGCATCGTGAAAAAAACATTTCCCTTTACCTCTTTGACCAAGAGAAACTAAGTGAACTTTTCTTTTCTTTTTGAAACAGGGTCTCCTTCTGTCACCCAGGCTGGAGTGCAGTGGTGTACTCGGGTCACTAGAGCCTTGACTTCCTGGGGTCAAGGGATCCTCCCAGCTCAGCCTCCTGAGCAGCTAGGACTATCAACATGGCCATGATGTCCAGCTAAAATTTTTATATTATTTATTTATTTATTTATTTATTTAAAGGACAAGACAGTGGATAACATTTTTAAATTTAAAATCAACTATTTTTTTTTTTTTTTGTACAAACAGGTTTTCACTAAGTTGCCCAGGCTGGTGTTGAACTCCTGGGCTCAAGTGATCCTCCCACCTGGGCCTTCCAAAGGGCTGAGATTACAAGTGTGAGCCATTCTACCCAGTCTGAACTTTTCATTTAGCTTACCTTTTCTTTTTTTTTTTTTTTTTTTTTGAGACAGAGTCTCGCTGTCACCAAGGCTGGAGTACAGTGGCACAATCTTGGCTCACTGGAGGCTCTGCCCCCCGGGGTTCACGCCATTCTCCTGCCTCAGCCTCCCGCGTAGCTGGGACTACAGGGGCCCGCCACCTCGCCCGGCTAATTTTTTGTATTTTTAATAGAGACAGGGTTTCACCGTGTTAGCCAGGGTGGTCTCCATCTCCTGACCTCATGATCCGCCTGCCTTGGCCTCCCAAAGTGCTGGGATTACAGGCGTGAGCCACCGTGCCCGGCCAAAGCAACTACTTCATCTCCCCGTCGGGGAATCAGAATCCTGGAGCTTAAATGAGAAATTCCTAGATGCTCCATTCCTGATGTTCTTCTGTAAAATGAAGTTGGCCTTAAGTGCTTTAATTGCTTTTGGCTGATATCAGAGGTTTTCACTGGGTTATGTTTCTTTAAGGCAAGGACCATGCGTGGAGGGCCTTGAGCCCTGAGCACCTAAGCTTAGCACCTTAGAACGTGGCAGATGGGTGCTTATTAGATTTTTGTTGAAAAAATGCCTTCCAATTTTTTCATGTTTGATTTCATGGCTGTGCTGTAATTGCTCCCATGTTCTTAAACCCCTCTCATCCTCTTCATTCAGACAAACACAACCTGCTTTTCTGATGCTTACGCTTGGATGGGGTCCTTTCTCCAGCCTGTGGAGGCCTCTTTGTGTCACCAAATCATATTGTATATATATTTTTTATTTTTTAATTTTTATATATTTTTTGAGACAGAGTTTCACTCATCACCCAGGTTGGAGTACAGTGGCATGATCTCAGCTCACTGGAACCTCTGCCTCCAGGTTCAAGTGATTCTCCTGCCTTAGCCTCCCATGTAGCTGGGATTACAGGCATGCACCACCACACTTGGCTAATTTTTTGTTGTTGTTGTTGTTTTTCTTTTTGAGATGGAGTCTCACTCAGTCGCCCAGGCTGGAGTGCAGTGGTGTGATCTCAGCTCACTGCAACCTCTGCCTCCCGGGTTCAACAATTCTCCTGTCTCAGCCTCCCTAGTAGCTGGGACTACAGAAGCCTGCCACAACTCCCAGCTAACTTTTGTATTTTTAGTAGAGACAGGGTTTCACCATACTGGTCAGGCTGGTCTCAAACTCCTGACCTTAGGTGATCCATCTGCCTCAGCCTCCCAAAGTGCTGGGATTACAGGGGTGAGCCACCACACCTGGCCATATTGTATATTCTTTAAAACAACAACAAAAAAGCTCATTAGATTTTTCCCAGCTGAGTTCAACTCTTTGCCGTCTCCTATTTGTTTCTGACCACTCTACCAAAACCCACTTTAATCTAATAGCCAAGTGTTAAAGCTCCTCAGTTACTCAAAATCTACTTACTGGCAGATTGCAGGAGCCTTGGAGGAGGTAAGGTCTTGGCATTTTTTTAGTGAGTCTTGCCCTAGGTCCCTGGTTTCTAAATCTGGCCAGGTGTCATCATTGGAGGAACTAGTTAAACATCTGCATTCCTGGCACCATTCCAGCCTCGGTGACTCAGAATTTGGGGTGTGCTGCCCCCAGCCTCCAAAGAGTACAGCAGGAGCCTCAGGAATTTGAATTTTAACAAGTGTTCCAGGCAATTCTGATACCTGGGCAGATAGTCCAAACATTTAGTGTAAATTCCTTCCAGGGTCGGCAAAGGGACAAGGGAGAAGGATGAGTTCAAATTTTGGCAGAGATTGGGAGTGAGTCTGACTATCCGTCCATGTTGTCTATGTATTTTTACTCTTCTCTTTAGAGCCTACATTTTCCTCCCTGCCTTCCACGGTTGACTTGTAGACTGACTCTAAAGGACAAGGACTTGCTACTTCATTGGTATCAGAAGCAGGAATTTCTATGAAAATGAATAGACCTGAATTCTTTTATCTTACAATCCTGGAATTGTTAGGAATCTTAAAGGTCACTTAGTGATCTTATTTAGTGGGACACCTTAGATATCCAAAGGACAAGCAATGACATCAAGATTAGCAACTCACATAATTGTGGTGAGCCACCCAGGGCAGGCCTTCCCTGAGGCTTCCAGCCTGAAGTCTCCAGCACTGCGAGCGGAGAGATCAGAAAGTCAGGAGTAGGCCTACGCTGGGAGAGAAGCAGGGGGCTGCGCACAGGAAAATGAAGGGAGATCAGATGGTATATGGAGAGCAAAGAGGGAGTGGAAGAGGAATGTGGGTGAGAACAATCTTCCAGTGCACTCAAACACAAAGGAATTCACTTACTTACTCCCCAAACACCTGCGAATTATCTCCTTAGAACCTGATCTGATGCTAACCACAGGTCTTGCCCTCAAGGAGCTCTCAATCTAGTGGGATAGACAAATACCCATGACAATAGAGAGTGATAAGTCTAACAATAGAGGCAGACTCCAGGAGTAAGGTAAGAATATGTGCAAACACACCAGCCCCAAGGGTTTGTGGAGCCCTTAGAATTTATTTACAGTATTGGATATAACGGCAACATTAAAATATGCAAGCTAGCCAGGCACAGGTGGCTCATGCCTGTAATCCCAGCAGTTTGGGGTGCTGAGCCAGAAGGATCCTTTGAGCCCAAGAGTTTGAGATCAGCCTAAGTAACATAATGAGACCCTGTCTCTACAAAAACTAAAAAAATTAGCGTGGCATGGTGGCAAATCCACCTCAGGAGGTTTGAGGTGGGCCCAGAAATTTGAGGCTGCAATGAATTATGATCTATGATCAGGCCACTGCACTCCAGCCTGTGCAACAGAGTGAGACCCTGTCTCTAAAAAACAAAATAAATACAAAATAAATACAAAATAAAATACATGAGCTAAACAGAAAGACTATATCCAGTTGTTTTTAGAATCGTTTTAAACTTTTTTGTTTGTTTGTTTCAGCCAGAGTCTCTCCCTGTTGCTCAGGCTGGAGTATGGTGGCTCGATTCGACTCACCACAACCTCCGCCTCCCAGGTTCAAGTGATTCTCCTGCCTCAGCCACCCCAGTAGCTGGGATTACAAGTGCGTGCCACCATGCCCGGCTAATTTTTGTATTTTTAGTAGAGATGGGGTTTCATCATGTTGGCCAGGCTGGTCTCCAACTCCTGACCTCAAGTGATCCTCCAGCCTTGGCCTCCCAAATGGTGAGATTACAGGTGTGAGCCACTGTGCCTGGCCTATTTTAAACTTTTTAAATGTTAAATAGAGCATTGCTAGTAAAACAAACAAACAAAAAAAACAACAGCAACAACAACAAAAAACAGAAAATAATCAACTTTCTGGTAATATCTGAACTTGAACCAGATGTTATGAAGAAATGGCTATCGGCTGGGTGCGGTAGCTCATGACTGTAATCCCAACACTTTGGGAGGCTGAGGCGGGTGGATCACTTGAGGTCAGGAGTTTGAGACCAGCCTGGCCAACATGGTGAAACCCTGTCTCTACTAAAAATACAAAAATTAGCTGGGCGTGGTGGTGTGTGCCTGTAATCCCAGGACCACCTCCCACCTCAGCCTCCCAATCCCACTCCCACGTCACTGAGGCTGCAGTGAGCCTTGATCACACCACTTTACCCCAGCCTGGGTGACAGAGTGAGACCCTGTCTCAAAACAAACAAAAAAGAAATGGCTATCATGGATATAATGAAGAAATAGAAATTTTATAATGTATTAAAAGAAATTTCATGTAAGAATTGTTCACATGAGACAAACGTCCTGTAGAAAGAAAAATTACCTTGAGCTAAAATGAGAACTTGCTAAATTCCTCTTTCTTATTCTCTTTTTGGAAATAATCAGCTTTCTTTAAAAATGTAAATAGGCTGGGCTTGGTAGCTCACGCTTGTAATCCCAGCACTTTGGAAGGCTGAGGCGGGCGGATCATGAGGTCAGGAGATCGAGACCATCCTGGCTTACACGGTGAAACCCCGTCTCTACTAAAAATACAAAAAATTAGCCGGGCGTTGTGGCGGGCGCCTGTAGTCCCAGCTACTTGGGAGGCTGAGGCAAGAGAATGGCATGAACCCGGGAGGCGGAGCTTGCAGTGAGCCGAGATCGCGCCACTGCACTCCAGCCTGGGCGACAGAGTGAGACTCCGCCTCAAAAAAAAAAAAAAAAAAAAAGTAAATATTTCTTTTTGGGATAATGTGACAAATGAATACACTTTGCCTTCCTCTCCCTCCCACACCCTCACTTGTAATCACAAAGCTATTGTTGAATGCTAGGTACCAAAGGTATTTTACTGCTGTGATATAAAATGGCAATTGTGTGAATGTAGATTTTAAGATTTCTCAGGGATGGAGCCGGGTGTGTGGCTCATACCTGAATCCCAGCACTTTGGGAGGTCAAGATGAGTGGATCACTTGAGGTCAGGGGTTCAAGACCAGCCTGGCTAACATGGTGAAACCCCATCTCTACTAAGAATACAAAAATTAGCTGGGCGTGGTGGTGCACACCTGTAATCCCAGCTACTTGGGAGGCTGAGGTTGGAGAATCCCTTGAATCTGGGAGGTGGACTTTGCAGTGAGCTGAGATCATGCCATTGCACTCCAGCCTGGGTGACACAGTAAGACTCCATCTCCAAAACAAAACAAAACAAAAAACTTCTTGGGGTAGACTGGATAGGAGAAGAAAAAAACCAAAAACTGAAGGTGCCCCAGACTATTAGTATCAGGGCAGGGATAGTGCAGAGAAAGGAAGTAGGAATTATTTGGAGTCTGAGAAAGGAAAAAAAGAAAATATTCTAAACATGGAAATGGTTGTAATTCGGAAATATCAGACATTATAGTTTAGACCTATACAGAGGAAAGTAAACATTCGAAGTGTATTATCTTATTGATTAGCAAGGAAAAAAATATATCTTCATCTTTTAATAAAGAACTCCTAGGCTGGGCGTGGTGGCTCACGCCCGTAATCCCAGCACTTTGGGAGGCCGAGCAGGGCAGATCACCTGAGGTTGGGAGTTCGAGACCAGCCTGACCAACATGGAGAAACCCCGTTTCTACTAAAAATACAAAATTAGCTAGGCGTGGTGGTGCGTACCTGTAATCCCAGCTACTTGGGAGGCTGAGGCTGGAGAATCACTTGTACCTGGGAGGTGGAGTTTGCGGTGAGCTGAGATCATGCCATTGCACTCCAGCCTGGGCAACAACAGCGAAACTCTGTCTCAAAAAAGCAAACGAACAGCAAAAAGAACTTCTGAATCAGGAGTGCTGTAGGAAGTTTCAAGGGTAGGAATATTATACTTTTATAATCTACTCTTGTAATTGTTAGATTAATTGAAAACTAATAGTCAATCTGGCCTAGTCAATAATAAAGTTAGTTGGAATAAAATCCAGTGCTTAAAATTATTATAATTCAGTTAGTAAATGCCAACTGTATGCTTAGCTTTAAATAAAATTTAAAAGATGGCCCTGTTTTCCTCTAAGATTATATAAGGTTCTTACTGCAATGGAATCCTAAGTCGTTTTATACAGCTTTTCATTTCTTTTTTTCTTTTTTTCTTTTTCTTTTTCTTTTTTTATTAGCACAAACGCATTTATTTATTAACCAAAGGGATGATCCTAATTAATCCAACACACTTTGAAATAGCTGCATGTAAAATGTTCGTGATAAAGATAATTGAACGCAGTAATGGAAAAAAAAAAAAGAAACAGTATGGAGATTTGCTCATTGAACTGAGCTTGGTCATTCTCTTAGTTAACTCCTGTCCAAAGTGATGATGGAATTTTTATTCTACTTTTTCATAGATCCGAGTACAGGCGACATGGTTCATGACACACTCCACCACTAATTTCCCATCTTTCAATTTTCTTGTTATTGTGCTTTCCTTCCCATCCCACTCCTGATGCTGAACCAATGCACCATCTGTAAAGTTGCAGACAGTCTGAGTTTTTCTGCCATCAGCTGTGGTTTCTTCAAACTTCTCTCCCAGGGGACAAGAAAACTGTGTTGTTTTCAAAGTGCTCTCAGTTTTTATGGTGAGGTTTTTGCCATCACAAGTGACAATACAATCTGGCTTGGCCATTGCGCCCATTTTTCGCAAAGCTATTCCCACTCCTAGCTCCTTCATGTATTCATCAAAGCCTTTGCTGTCCACCAGGCGCCATCTTCCTTCCAGCTGCTGAACTGTGGCCATGGTGGGTGCGGGCGGGCTGGCATGCAGAGAGTGGTCTGCGTCGGCGTGGCAGCGTGCTGTCACAGCTTTTCATTTCTAACAACTAGGTTGAATCTGTGCTACACAGATTTGGTTATTAATAGATATAATTCAGCCTTCTTCACTGAGATCGGTGCTTCCTTTTATTTCTTTCTGCTCCTGATGCAAGCTAGGCACACACTAGGCATTCAAAAATATTTGTTGACTGATGAAAAGTCACTGAATATGCACAATCAGAGTTTACCATTTTGAACTGCTACAGAAAACAGTTTAAAACTGTGGATTCAATAGTCCATGGTCATTTCAACTCATATCTTTTTCCCAAGTATCGGGAAAATATTTTCTGGACAGATTTTTCTCCAGTGAAACTGAAACCTAAATTTGATCTATTTATTCAGAGTTCAGGCCCAACACTTAAATTATAGGAAGGTATGTCTATAATTCCAAATTCACTCCAAGTGGACTTTCAGCCCAGGGGAGCTAACTAATGGCCTCAATTCTTCCACTCCTTTCCCTGCTGCAGGAATCAGTCCCCTGGACTCTGATGTGTGGCTGGGTTGGCTGGGTTGCCCTGGGCAGACTTATTAGCTTGGACTCTTTCGCATGCAAAAGATAGCACCTGTGTGACTGTACATATTGAAAATGCAATTGCAGGTGTATTTGCAAATTGGATTTTGAGGGGGAAATTTAAGCAAATCCTTTTGAAAGCAAATCCCTCCAAGGTGTGAGTAATAAAGAAACAAGAAGAAAGGTGTCAATCAAAAACCTATTAAAATCTAGTTTCCAGAGAAGAAGCTGACTGTCTAATGACATTTATGCTTTCATAGCTAGGCATTTAACAGTCATTTTGTGTCAGTTGCTTCCTTTATACATGTCACGTGGCACATTTTTCAGTTTTCTGTATTTCTGAGACCTTAATCCCAATCACTCTTAAATGCTTGAAATGAGCCCATGTTCCTAAAAGGAGGGGGTTTTTGTCCACCTGAATTTCTCTGCAGGAATCTACAATGATGCCTCAAGCATCAGTATATGAAGTCAACCACTGTCATTCATCCAATTCATTCATTCCATTCATTCTTTTAGTTAGCCCTAAAACTCCATGGTAAATTATTATGGCCAAGAGAAGGCTAAACCAACCAGCTGTTTAAAAACATTAGAATTTGGGATCGCAATGAAGTTATGTGTCTAAACTAAAGGCAGAAATTATTATTATTTTATTTATTTATTTATTTATTTATTTTTTTGAGACGGAGTCTCGCTCTGTCGCCCAGGCTGGAGTGCAGTGGTGCGATCTCGGCTTACTGCAAGCTCCGCCTCCTGGGTTCACGCCATTCTCCTGCCTCAGCCTCCCAAGTAGCTTGGACTACAGGCGCCTGCCACCATGCCCGGCTAATTTTTTGTATTTTTAGTAGAGACGAGGTTTCACCGTGTTAGCCAGGATGGTCTCGATCTCCTGACCTCGTGATCCGCCCACCTCTGCCTCCCAAAGTGCTGGGATTACAGGCGTGAGCCACCGTGCCCGGCCGAAATTATTCTTATTTGATTAATCACTGATACCTTTAGTTCCCATTTGTTTGTTTCCTTTATTTTTTGCTTTTGTTAATTCCACTGCCTAACCCCCAAACGTTTACCCTTACTGCTCTATTTTGCATCTGAACGTTATTTGCTACTGCTGCTGTACTTCTCTGGGTTTAAAACGGGACAGTAGTAGATATGAGGAATCAAGAGCAGTAGAAACCTAGATCTTACATTTTGGTCAGATTGTAAACGTGTGATGACAATAAGATATGATCAACTTTTTGACCTTACCCTTCAGCTCTCCAACTGACATTGGTTGTTTGGAGGGGGACAAATCCTGACTCAGGATCCAAGTATCTTTCTTCCCCTCCATGGTAAAGAATGTAATTCTAATTGGGAAAAGAAGAAAGAATTATCAAATTTTAACACATCAACTGGTTTCTAAAATACTTTTGGAATAGTCTAGTATGAATGTCTTTAAAAAGTGGGGCTGGGATTTTATCTGATCTTTGTTGGTTTCTATCAATTGTGGCACTGGAGCCTGTTAAAAATAAATACCATATAGAGACACGTTTTCCGAAAGCAAAACCTGGTGTCTGCAAAACTTACAGGCTCATGGGTTTCTAATTGGGAGTGTGCACACAGACCCCTCCAAGGTAAATACATACATTCTAAATTTACCCGAGCGCTTTAAGCAGCTCTTAACATCCTATGACAAGGAGAACATTTGTTAATCAGAAAAATTACAACCTATTCATACTTATTGTTTGATTATTTCTCTGCTGACCTCTGAAGTCCCATTGTTGATTGAATTAGTTATAGTAACTCATATTTATTTTAGCAACTAGCTAATATAAATGCAAACTCTTCTTATCACCAGATGATTGATAGGCACATTAAGAAGTTGTTCAACAGGTTGCTTGGTTTGAAGAAATGTTTAAATCCTGATGGGTTACCTTTTTATCAGCAAAGAGTGGGAATTAGCACAGATAAGCCCATAGTAACAAAAATTTTATTTTCGAAGTGGAATGTTGTCAGTTCTTTATATTTGATTTTGCTTGAAGCAGTAGATTCTATCAGTTCCTTTTTATAGATTTAAATGTATTTTGGAGGTATTGCTTTTCTATTGTTGACTGGAGAAGGTATCCTATAAAGAATATTATCAAGCAGCTGAAGGTGATGAAGTATCTGTTGGCACTAATCTGACTTTCCTTCTTCTTTCTGTTTTGTTTTTGCATAAAACGTCCATTTTGTAAAGGCTTTCAGGCACTTGAACTAAGTTAGCCCCACAAATGCCTAACATTTTTTTCACTGGTAAAAGTACTGTTTTGATTCTTTTTTTTTTTTTTTTTTTTTTTTTTTTGGGACAGAGTCTCTCTGTGTTGACACGCTGGAGTGCAGTGGCACGATCTCGGCTCACTGCAACCTCCGCCTCCTGGGTGCAAGCGATTCTCCTACCTTAGCCTCCAAATTAGCTGGGATTACAGGCACGTGCCACCACATCCAGCTAATTTTTGTATTTTCAGTAGAGATGGGATTTCACCATGTTGGCCAGGATGGATGGTCTCGATCTCTTGACCTCGTAATCCGCCTGCCTCGGCCTACCAAAGTACTGAGATTACAGGAGTGAGCCACCAAGCCCGGCTAATTTTGGTATTTTTAGTAGAGACGGGGTTTCACCGTGTTGGCCAGACTGGTTTTGAACTCCTGACCTCAGGTAATCTGCCAGCCTCAGCCTCCCAAAGTGCTGGCTTGAGCCACTGCGCTTGGCTTCTTCTTCTTCTCCTCCTCCTCCTTCTTCTTTTTTTTTTTAAATGGAAACATGAGCACAATAGGGTAAGGTAAATTGCCGATGGCTATCCAATAGGTGAGTGACAGGATTAAAGTTCATAGGTCCTCATCCTTAATCTGGTCATTGGTGCATAGGCCCAGCAGGGCTTCTTAACAACTGGCTGTGATTTTCATTATAATATCTCTTCCTGAGGACATAGGTACTTTAGTGATAAGCACTAGAGAAAGGTCTAAATATGGACATGATGGGTTAGTCAAAAGAAATGACTGAAAATTTCTTCTTGATTGGAAACTGAATAATGTTCCTAGAAAATTCTGTTGAAGCCGGGTGCAGTGGCTCACGCCTGTAATCCCAGCACTTTTGGAGGCTGAGGCCCCGGGGGGGATCACCTTAGGTCAGGAGTTCAAGACCAGCCTGACCAATATGGTGAAACTCCAGTCTCTACTAAAAATACAGAATTAGCCGGGCATAGTGGTCCATGCCTGTAATCCCAACTAGTTGGGAGGCTGAGGCAGGAGAATCGCTTGAACCCGGGAGGCAGAGGTTGCAGTGAGTGGAGATTGTGCTATTGCACTCCAGCCTGGGCAACAAGAGTGAAACTCCATCTCAAAAGAAAAAAAGAAAAGAAAAGAAAATTCTGTTGAATAATGCCTCAACTTCCAAAAGGTGTCTGATGATATGTCAGGACTTTTCACAGCACCTCAATTTGTTATTATCATTACTATTATTATTATTAGTTTTTTAGAGACAGGATCTTGCTCT